>NC_000012.12:42914673-43066188 GCF_000001405.40 Homo sapiens
ATAATGCAGAGAAATCACACACTAATGAATTATAGGCGGCTCCACAGGAATTGAAAATCATCAGGAAGTCCTCATCTCCAATATTCTCTCTTTGGGACTGTGTGGTCTCTCATTTCCTTTACTTTGGGTGCTTTTTTCATTATCTCTTCTCACTTTTCACTGACTGGTGATCGATTTCTGGCTGCAGGTCACTCTGTTTCCTGGTTTTCTTATTCTCTTCTCTCTCTGCTCTTCGATTCGGCTGGCAACAGCTCACTCGACATCCCTTTCCCCTTTCCCTGGCCAAGGACCTGCATGGCATGCATCTCATTTTCTCCTAGTTTCTTTTCCCCATCACGAGTGCCACTGTGTCCCACCTACTGCCAGTTGCTGTGCCAAACACTTGTCCCTGAATTAATTTGATCTTTAATACAACCCTGTGGGATATGTAGAATTATCTCCATTTTACACATGAGGAAATTGGGGTCCAGGGAAGGTTAAGAAATTGTCCTAAGGTCTTGTAAGTGATAGACTTAACCTTAAAGTCAGGTTTTTCTGACTCCAAAGCCAATCCTCTGAAGTCTGAAATCACAGCACCATCCTTGTTGCCATTCTATATTTTCAGATTCAAAACTCCCAACAGTCCTCTTAGGTTAAGTAGTTTGCCTGACATTACCCAGCTAGTAAGTGGGTAATGTGGGGGATCTGGGCTTAGACCCTGGTTTTTCACAGCCCATAAATCCATCACACCAGATTGTCTTCTAAAATACTGCAACATATAAATTAACCTGATGAATGTCATTGTTTTAGGCCTGTTCTGAAGAGGTGGTAAAAATAAAGTGTGAAATCTATACCTCACTATCTATGACTAAATCTATTCAGGTCTTGACTTTGGCAGTCATCGGCATTCACCTTGAGCAAGTGCTGAATAAATATCCCATTAAGATAAGAGAGCTGTAGATCTTGGCCTTGCAATTAAAATTTGTACTGGGAAGTTTGCAAGGCTAGATGGATGGGAAGAGCAGAAAGATAAATAGTAAAGAATACTGAACTTGCTATAGGCAGCAACTACGCTGTGGTGTGAATAGCATGTGTATGTGTATATGTTTGTGTATGTTGGTCTAAGGTATAGGTGTAAATCGTTGGGAGCTATACAAATCGAAAATGTTTCCTTACCCTGGTGTCCTGGGGTATTGAGTAATTGCAATGGCCTTGAACTTGTAGGGCATAGCCCCATTTTATCTTTACTTTTATTAGTATGTCAGTGGATATAGTAAGGGCAAAATAATACTAGGGGTGAGAGATGATGGCATCTTGAAGTTGGTGATACCAGAGAAGAGTGAAAAGAGAGTGGTTTCAAGATAAGGGGAAAGTGTAGAAGTTGCCAAGGATAATGTGTAGGTGGTAGTGTCACTTACTGAGATAGGGAACACTGGAAGAAAACCATATTTGGTTGGGGTGAGGTGGGATCATTAAGATTATGGATTCTTTATATGTCCAATTGGAGAGGTCAAGTGTAAACTATTAGATGTATGGCTAGAACTCAGGGAGACGTCTGGGCTAGAGACATGAATTTGTGAGTCATCTGTATACAGGTAACTAACACTGTGGATAGTGTCCAAAGCTCCTAGAGAAAGCATTGAGTGAATAGACAAGAGGGCCCCATGGCTAGATAATAATTAATTTGTGAAGGAGAAGGAATAAGCTATAAATAGGAGACACACTGAAAAAAATCCAGTGTTGGGAAAGAGACTTTTGATAAAAGAAAAATTGTAAGAGATAAATTATAGATTAACAGATCATGGAGTCATTAATTAAACAATCGGTGAACTTTTTTTTTTCCTGTGCTAGGTAACATTTAAAAACGGAGACTGTAAAGACTATTAAGACTCCAATAAGCTTACCTCTTTGACATAGCTTTCCTGAGTTGAGTCAGGAACTGGTTGTAAATTATCCATGTTAGCTGTTAGCTGTTTCTTCCTCATGTCTTCTAGTCTTTTATTTTTGTCATTTCTCTGCTTCTAACACTTTTATCAGAAATGAGCCAGGAATAAGGAAAGGAAGTTATAGCAAAAGTGCTAGTTTTTCTGGTTTCTCCTTGGTGCTAATAAATACTTCATGGCGTAGAAATAAAATTCTGGGGAACCTCAGTGGCTTTTGAAAGTCCGTTTTTTGTTTTTGTCACCAAATATCATAAGTTGGTGTTAACTTAAACTTGACTACAAAATATCTAGCTATGGTCTACACTAGATATAGCCAGATACATCAGTCTTTAGGAAAAGGAAAAGGGGAAAAAGACATTATGATCAGTTACATAGTATTTTAAAATAATTCAAGCAAATATAATGCATCAAGAACAAGAAGCTAATATTATTGAGGAAGCAATATACACTTGCCAACTATTTAGCATTACAATGTCTTTTTATGTTCAAAACCACCTAACATTTAGAAGAGAGCAACAATGTGAAATTAAATATAGAATCATACACAACAGTGTCCCATTAACAAAAACAGTTATTTTACCTCCTCAAATGATTGTTACCCTGGAGGAAGAAAAGTCTCAATATATCATCAATCTAATATTGTTTCGCTGGGAGAGAATAATGTATAAACTCAGATTAATTTGAAAATGCTTTTATTTAGAGAGAAAACAGGATTCCTTTTCTGAGTGTTCCTTTTTATTATTGAGAAATGACTTCTATTTTAATGTATCTTGACTCATATTGACTAAACATTATTTAGAATTATGGTTTTCAGACTTTCTATTGTATCATTTGGTATGAAATGACATTATGCAATTAAAAAAGAACTGGCAAGCATATGACCTAAATAAAATACACCATCTTGCTGTCCCTACACCAGAGACAGAGCCAGGTCTAACATTAGGTGCCATGGAGGTAGCAAAAACCTCTCTTCTGGAATGGAAGGTTTACCCCAATGCTCTATGCTCCAGAATATCTTCATGCTTGACTCCTGTCCTCAACCAGCCTTTGAACTATACATTTTCCTTTACTCACTCCTTTGAATTAAAAATACTAATGTATGAATATTATCTTGGAGTGATAACATATAAAGTATTTTTTTAAGGTAAGGTACTTCATTATTTCCTGGGAATGAGACATGTGGATATAGGAAATAGCCAATTAAACACGCAGCACTATGTAAGCCATCTTGGATGATACAAAGGTAATGTATTTGTTTCATGTCCTCAGGCAACTTATATTCTTATTATAAACTATACAAAATTTAAAAAGAGGCTTAACTTTGTGAAGATACAGAAGAAAGTAAAACCTAGGAAAACAATGTGCTGTAAACAAAGAGGAAATTGATCAAAAGATATCATAAATTTGAGCTAGATATTTTAAGGACCTCTTAAGGAAAACAAACAAAAAAGAAAACATGTACCCTATTCAGGAACTTCAAAATTCCACCGAAGTGGCCCATGGATTTCTCTTCCCTTGTGTTTAGCAATATTATTACTTTTTTCCTCCGAACTAGTCATTTATTTTTTATGTTTCACTTATTTTCATCCATGATTTGTCTATCTGAAAAGCAGACTTCCAGGTGGAATATCCTGTGGAGCTTTTTTCATCTTAATGCTTGATACGTATCAGAAAACTGTCCAACCAAGAGTCTCAGTCAACCTTGACCCAACAGAAGTGTTAGAACTGTATACTTGAGAGTTGCCCTTGTGCGTGGGCCTGCTTGTACGTTAGCAGAAAGAGGCCTCCTTGTCAAATAATGCTTTTTCCTATGCTCTTGGCAACTGGGAAATTACTTCAGCTAGTCTAGATGAGCATAGACTGATAAATAAGCAACTTCTTTTTTTCTTTTTTCACCCTCCTTCCCCCCACCCAGAGCTCTGTCATCTGGTGCTCCTAACCAGCTGTGCTTTGGTTCATTATCCGGCTGAGTCTTACACTTATCTGCAAGACTGACTCTTAAATGCTCTGCACAGTGTCATTCTGGATGTCTGCAGTTACTAATGAGAAGTCAGACAACCAGCGAGTCAGAACATTTCAAGAACGCTTGGAGAAAAACAGTTAAAGAAAAATCACTTGGGTAGAAGATAGAAGTTCACTATGTTTTGATTTGATTTGGCTGAGATAGTATGCTATTAAATTATCCAGCCATCCATATTTGTAGCCAAGTTATTTTTTGTGGTAGCTAAATCTAAAAGGAATCTGTAATATATAGACATCTTTAAATAAAATCAGCTGCCTTATAATTTTTATTGGCTTCAATGAGAGGATAACATAAATAGTATTTTGTTTCTATCATAGAATAGTTATGGAGGCAAAATAGTCAAACATGATTGTAGTTCCTTCTAATTATATAATTGCTATTATATAAACCAATTTCCTTTCTGCTGGTTAAAGAAGAGACTATTTTATAGCAGTTCAACTATGTCACTTGTGTGTTAATAAAGCACTATTTGTATCATTCAGGATTTACCCATCATTTTATACTCACAAAATTTTAAGCAACATGACCACCATTACCTCTCTATGGATGGTAAGAATTTGACCCTTGAAGGAAACCACACAAATTTGCCTTATTCTTAGAGTAAATTTTTATTAAAAACCTATTTTCATATTCAAATCAATTGATGAATATTCTTTTTAGTTAGAAAAGATGCTTGTATGTAAGTATTTTTTCTTAGGGAGTATGCATGTCTGGCTTTATTCCCTGAATTGATTTAGAAGGCTTTGCCTGTTTTGGAAGGTCTACTGCCTTGAATCTGGGTAAATCTGAGATGTTCTCAGACCATCTGTAATCACATTGGTGGAACAGGTTATGTTTTTTAAAAGTAGCACTCCGGTGATTCTTGCTCACAGCGCTTCATAGCTAAGACTACAGATTTTCTTCTCTTGACTTCTCGGACATGCTAGGAAAGCCAACTTGCTTTAGTGGGTTCAGAAACCCTGATTCTGTGACATTGGGGAAAATATTGACTATATTTGAGGCTCAATTCTTATTCTGTAAAGTAAGATGTTGAGTGAGATGTTCTTTGAGTTCCCTTTAAATTATATAAACATTGTAAAGAGCTGATTAAGCTGACTTTTAATGCTTATTTATGAGGGTTCTTTGAAACAGATGACAGAGGAAAAAGCAGCAAAACTGGAGGAAGAAAAACCAAAAAATGGAGAATGTGTGGGCAGACCTGAGGGCTGGCTCATCATGGCAGGCAGCCTGGCTCTTGTTCCTCCCTCTGCTTCCGATAACTTTCCCCATGATATACTCTGAATGATCTCACACCAAGAGGAAAATCTGGGTGTGGGCTGAAAAGCAAGGGGGTGAATTTTACTGGTTGAGAATGCCAAGCTTAGTCTGAAATTCATTAGTTACTTGAGTGATAGTTAAAATGAGGGAACAGTAGGTCAGAGGGGCAGTAGAGAAGACAGGCAGAGGTGTCTAGTCATCCAGAGTTCACCTTTAAGGTCAGCTTATGCAAAAGTTTACCAAAATCAACAACCAACCAAGGTTTAGTTATATCATTTATATGGTTAACATATAATCACACCCCTAGAACATATGCCTCTCCCTAAAAAAGGTGCTCAGAGAATTTTATCTCTTTTAAATTTGTATCCTAACCACTTTTTCACTGTGTATGTGTATGTTTCTTATAAAATCACCTGGAGACCAATAGAGTCCCAAATAACTCTACCTGCTAGCTTAGGCACCTCTCCTTCATGGCTCTATGTCTCCTTTAGCTCTGTGTTTGCCACAGTACATTGCAGTGGTTTGCCTTTATTTCACTGCCCTTCAACAAGAGAAGTCCCTCAAGGGCATAAATTAAACCATATTTATTATGCTTTCCCAGAACTAAAACTGCTCCCAGCTCAGCATGGGCCAGACATGGAGCTAGGGGCAGGAGATGGGAAACGCAGGTCCAACCTTAGGTGCTTATAGTTCGGTGGGGGAATCAGGGGTAAAAATGTATACAATGTTAAATACTGTAGTAAATGTGGTCCAGGGTTCAGTAAGGAGTCAAAAAAGATTTGATTGTAAGGATGGAAGAATGAGAGAGAGTGATTGTAGAGGAGCTTGCTTAATAATCACTAAGCACTAGACTTTTTCCATCATCACAAGATATGACATCACCAGGATGAGAAATGCCAAATTAGAGGGTCAATTTTCTTACTTTCAAGGTAGTGATGAGGCTTTGTAGTTCCTGCACAGGTGCAACATAAAAAGTATTTAAGAAGTTGAATAGGCACTAGCCCACTCGACCCTGCCTCCAACTGTGTGCCTTATACTCCAAACTGGGTCCACCTGTAGCCTCTGTCCACACAGTCTGTTCTCTCTAACTGGAAATGCTTCTCTCCAGTTCTCTAAGGATTTCCCACACATCTGTGATAGATTAAAGATGGCTGCAAATCTTTGCTACTCCTTTCATTGAGAGATGGGATCTATATTCCTTCACATCGAATCTGGCTAGGCTCTGTGAATGCTTAACCACTAGAACAGGACAAGCCCAGGCCTCAGAGACTTGCAGCTTCCACTTCCTACTACTTGGAAAGCAGGTGCTGGAGGAAGCCAGCTGCTGTGAATTGATCTGACTACCCTGAGACTGCCATGCTGGTGTGAAGCCCAAGCCATGTGGAGAAGCCCTGGAGAATGAGATGCTGTGTGAAGAGAAGGAGAGTCTGAGGAACACCGAGATACTAGACAGGCAAGTGAGGGACCTTCTGGGAAGTGGATCCTTCAGCCTCAACTGCCTCCATGGACACTGTGTGGATCAGAGATGAACAACCCATCTGAGCCCTTCCTGAATTCCTCACCAACACATCAGGAGCAAAATAAGATGAGTGTTTTAAGGCTGTAAGTTTTGTTTGTCGCACAGAAATAAATATCTGGAACAATATCCTTCAAGACCTTGTTCACATATTACTGCTTGGGGGAACCAAGCAGTAATTGTTCTGTTTTGGGGGGCAGAGTGATTTTTTGTCTTATTTTCTCCAAAGTCCCTATGTCCAAAGCAGCAGCAGTGGCTTCCTTTTGTTAAATATCTCCTACATCTCAGGCACAGCACTTGCTTTTATGCATATATTTCCTTACTGATTTCTCAAAACAAATCTATCAAGATGTCCTCATTATATTGATCAGGAAGTTGGGACTCATAATTATTGAAGGTTACGCAATGGTAAGCTGTGGAGCTGGGATCTGGACCCAGTTCTGCGTGGCTCTTTCCATAGCAGTGCACTGTGTTTATTCCACCACTGTCATTCTAGATAACTATCTGCTTACAGATCTTTCTCCCACACCACACTGTGCAAGGGAGAGTTTCTATTCACTGCAGTGCTTCCCAGCATCTGGCATAGTGTCTCATGCTCAATAAATGTTCATTGAATGAGTAAACGGCCTGCAGGACAATTTTCAGAGAGTCAAATACAAGGCCCTATTCATGTAGAAACAGAATTGCTTTCTAGTGAAAAGGTAATAAGTCTCAGCAGTCCTCTGAAATCCAGATGGCAATGCCTACCTCCTCCATCCTGAGAATGTCAGCAATGGTAACATTGCTGAGTGTTTGGCCAAGGGACTGGCCTATCTTTACTTGAATCTTGAACACACAATACCTCAGCAAGTTCACAGGGAGCCAATATTGTTATCTGCTGTTGGTGTGAGACAACATCTCTTTAATAAATGAGCCAATTCCTAAACAATAGTGAACTCAGTCACCTCTGTGGCGAGTGTATCCTTCTATCTTTTACTGCTAAAGCTATGGGAATCAAGAATGCAGGGCAGGTCCTTACTTGAAAGGAGGGAGACAGATAAGCCGCATTAGATAATGCGGCACAGCCTAGATGTAGATAAGATGTTACGGAGGCTGGACTTTCCAATTTGCTGGTGCTCTCATCCTCATTTATTACGGACGAGAATTTTCCCTGGATCCTCTCAATCTTGCTATTGTTGACATTGTATTCTGACACTTTATTGGGAGGACTCCATAAGCATTTGCTTACCAGGATTCGGTATAGAATATGTAGGAGAAAACAGCACAGCCTGACTCCTTTTGTAAAAGCAGAACTGATGTGAGGAATTTCCAAGTAGAGCCAGTTAAATAAAATGCCAGTTTATAGCTTCAATCCTGCCAGATGATCTGAGATAACTTACAAAATGTGCCCTCTTCACAAGAATGTTTACATGGAGAAATAGCTGCAATAAATAATGAGCAACTGTCTGAAAGAGAGATTAGACTTCAGGGTGTTACTTTCTGTGTCACGCGGGTACCCCTCAGTGTGAAGTTAGGGACCTGTAAATCATTTAGGGGAGGGTAGAGATTTAGTTAATATTGTCCTATATTGAAAGAGAAAAATAAATTCCCATGATAGGATTTTTACATTTGTTAACGTATTTAATGAAAAAGAAGGATTTTGTGATGGACTGTGTTTTTAAATTCGCTTTCTGTTCCATTCTCTGAATACACCGAGGTTTAATTAAAAAAAAGTATAGTCTTGTAGGGGCAAAGTGGCTATAATCTTGTGGGTTTTCTGATGTGCAGACACTCTTTTGCTGGCCATCTGAAGGCCTGTACTCTTGTCAATAACATGTCAGCTTTGTACGCCGTCTGAGGAATGTGTTTGAAACTCAAGGGGAAAATATGGATCATCCACTGTTTGTATTATATTTCTTTCTTGCATGTCTGTCATTTTCATTGGAACATTCAGTAAAATTAGGTCAGTTATGGTTTTAGTTAGCAATGCAGCTCTTGTGTTGTACACAAATCATATGATGTTTCTAATTATCTCTGCTTTTTAACATTGATCTGAAACCAAATCCTTAACTATGCATGGCTTAGAGGTGTTTCTCTTTTCCCTTCTCCTTTTTGTTTTGACTTCTTTCTGGAACTAAAATGAAACTTAATCTTGAAACAGCAAGATATAATAGTTTTGGCTTTATAGGCAGCTTAAAAGTCCAGGGTTAAGAGGAAAAGAAATGAATAATTATTAGTTATACAGTTGTAAGTGGAAATTTTTGAAGTAATTAATTGGGTGATCCACTACTCTTTTTCTAAAAGTTAATGCTGTGCTTATCTTTGAACTTTAGAGCTACTCAGATGGAGCTTTGGAAATCTCAGTGGTCTGTCTCAGGCCAAGAACTCTAGATTATCTGCCTCTTGAGCTGTGTTCAGTTTCCAAGAGGAGGGAAGCAATTGGAAAGGATTTCCTAAGGTCTCAAAATTTGAGCCTCTATGTGGTTGGCAGAGGGATGAAAGCCTGGGACATGCAACATTATGTATAAGGAGAAAATTGGGCATTAAAAAAAAACTAAGTAGCAAAGGGAATGGAATCCCAAAGGGACATTTTAAAAAGCATTTCTCTATTGGCCTTTAAAAACAGGATGGATCCCCCTCAGTCTAGTTTATCAGTTGCTACATCAAACAAACTGTACAGAGTGACTCAAGGCAGGGACTGAAGACTTCCAAATGCTTTCAAATCTGCCACTCTGTGAAAAGACAGGAAAACCTTCAGTGTCACTTTGGTGGCCCTTTGGGACTGGTTGTTGGTAGTGTTCTCATTAAGGGTATTGTGCATGGAAGATTCTTGGAAGCAGAGAGAAGCTGCACCAGAGGAAAAGAAACAATTTCATTTATGATCCATCTGCTTTTCCCCTTCTTCTTCCCTAACATTTATTGAATACTTAGTAGGTGCTGAGTGCTATGACAAACTGTAGGAATTAGCTAAGAAAAAAGAGTAGGAGATGGTTCTTGCCCTCTAGGAGCCCACACTCTGGTGAAGGGAGGTATATGTGTGAACAAATTACGATGATGAGGTCTGACACAGATACTGTGCTTGGCTGAATTGTGTTCCACAAAAAGATATGTCCAAGCCCTAACCCCAAGTACCCATAAATATAAAGCTATTTAGAAATAGGATATTTGCAGATGTAATGAAGGGTCTCACGATGAGATCATCCTGGATTTAGGATGGGCCCTCAATCTTTTACTGTGTCCTTATATAAGAAAGGAGAGGAAAATTTGAGACACAGAGACACACAGAGGTTATGTGATGATCAGGGAAAGAGACTGGAATTATGCAACCCCAAAAGGTGGCCAGAGGTCACAAGCTGGAAATTGGCAAGGAAGATTCTCCCTCAGAGCCTCCAGGAGGAACCAACCCCACCACCCCCTTGATTTTAAATTTCTGGCCTCCAGAACTGTGAGAGCATTAATCTCTTGTTTTAATTTGCTACAGGAGCCTCAGGAAATTCTTATAGGTATACATAAAATACTGTACCAGAAGGAGAAAGGAGCAACTGTGTCTAAGTTTCAGGGAAGGTGTCCCAGAGAAGGTGCTATTTAGGGTCTTGACAGAACAGCTTGCCAGTTGCACAAAGGTGTGAAGGACAATACAGGTGGAAGAGACATAATGGCAAATTCAAAGTTAATAAGCAGATGTCTTCAGCAAATGCTGTGTAATTCAGTGTCACGGGAGTACAGGATGTGATATGGAGAATAAGAGAAAATTAAAAATTGCAGCAGGCTGTGTGCGATGGCTCATGCCTGTAATCCCAGCATTTTGGGAGGCCAAGGCAGGAGTATCGTTTGAGTCCAGGAGTTCAAGACCAGCCTGGGCAACATGACGAAGCCCCATCTCTACAAACAAACAAACAAACAAACAAACAAAAACCATAAAAATTAGCTGGTGTGACCAGGTGTGGTGGCTCATGCCTGTAATCCCAGCACTTTGGGAGGCTGAGGCAGGCAGATCATTTGAGGTCAGGAGTTTGAGACCAGCCTGGCTAACATGGTGAAACCCCATCTCTACTAAAAATATAAATATTAGCCAGGCGTGGTGGCAGGCGCTTGTAATCTCAGCTATTCAGGAGGCTGAGGCAGGAGAATTGCTTGAACCCGGGTGACAGAGGCTACAGTGAGCTGAGATTGTGTCACTGCACTCCAGCCTGGGTGACAGAGTGAGACTTTGTCTCAAAAAGAAAAAAATTAGCCAGCATGGAAGCGCATGCCTGTTGTCCCAGCTACTTGGGGAGGCTGAGGTGGGAGGATTACTTGAGCCCTGGAGGCAGAGGTTGCAGTGAGCTGAGATTGTGTCACTGCGCTCTAGCCTGTGCTATAAAGCAAGGCTTTGTCTCCAAAAAAAAAAAAAAAAAAAAATTCAGTAAAATCGTGAAGGCTCTGTATTGTATACTGAGGAGAATTGGACTTTTATCTAGGCTATTTGTCCTTAACTTCTATGCCACAGTGCAGTGTGCCCAGGAGATATGTTGCAAGTAATTTATTATGAATACTAAAATGCTGAAATTTTCTAAAATGATTAGTTTTGCTCTCAACTAGAGAACACTTGAAGTTATTTTGATACATAAGTCTTCCTTCACTTTTATTTTGATGTGTTTCTTCAGTGGAAAAGAAAAAGGAGGGGTTATGGCAAACATTCAGTGAATTATATAGAAAGTGACCCATTAGTGCATATGAACATCTGTTCTAAGTGTGGTAGAAAACTGGTTGAGAATCACTGCTTCAGGCAATAAGGACCAGAGGAAACTTTGAAGTCAAACGGTGGGAAGAAGATGATTTTGACTTTTCAGGATGATAACTTTGAAGGTAATGTTGAGAATGGACAAAAATTGAGATATGTTTATCCCAGGGAGCTGGTTACAGTACCTGTGACCTGAATCAGTGGCAGTTGTGATCTTAGATAGTGGCTTTGTGGATGGACAAGTAAGGAGGGCTCAAGAAATCTTTCTGAGATAGAAATGACTAGTCCATGTGATGAGGATCATTTCTTCAAAGCTTGGAAGAGTGGATAGATGATGATGTCATTGACTGATTAGGGAATAGGGAGAAAGAATAAGTTTGTGGGAGAAGACCATGAGTTCAAGTTTGGGCATATTTGGTTTGAATTGACTGTAGCATATCCAAGAAGAGGTGCCTGGTTTATTGTAGAAGATAGAGTACTGGGAATTATCACCCATTATGGGGTTTGATTTCATGGTGGGAAACCACTCAGTTGAGGAAAGCTGTTTATGGTACAACCCTTAGAAGAGGGCCATGATCGAAGCTTTGCAGAAACATGTCATTACAGGAGACAAAAGACAATGTGTCAGTGAAGTGTCCTGAGAAAGAATGACTGTTTATATACATAAGGATAGGAGAGAAACAAAAAAAATAAGACTCTCTTGAAAACCAAGGGAGAGCAGGTATATTTGCCTTCTAGGGCTGCCATAACAAATTACTGCAAACTGGTGGCTTAAAACAACAGAAATGCATTCTTTTACAGTTCTGGATGCTAGAAATCCTAAATCACAGTGCCAGCAAAGCCACATTCTCTCCAAAGGCTCTAGGGGAGAATTTTCCCCTGCCTCTTCAGCTTTTGGTGGCTTCTGGTGTTCCTTGGCTTGTGGCTGAGCAACTTCAACCTCTGCCTCCATCTCTACATGAGCTGCTTCTCTTTGTCTTTGTGTCTCAAATCTCCCTCTTGTTTTCCTTATAAGGAAATCAGTCATTGGACTTAGAGCCCATCCTGAATGCAGGATGATTTCATGTTAAGATCCTTAATTGTATCTGCAAAGACCCTATTTCCAAATGAGGTTATGTAAACAGGTGCCAGGGGTTAGGACTTGGATATATGTTTTTGTGGGACACAATTCAAACCACTACAGTAGGTCATAGCAAATGTCAGGGAAATGACTGGATATACAATTGGATTAGACAATCAGTAAGGAGATTATTAATACCTTGAATCAGAAAGTTTCAGGTAATAATGTGCTAGAAGTCAAACTAAGAGGTCAAACAACCAATGGGAAAATTATTACTCCTTCAAGATATTTACTCAGCTCATGTCTTGAGAGACCTGAAGTCATTGATAGGGTCTAGTGTTTCTCTAGAAGGAGGTAACATCAAAAATTCAACAGGTGTGATAAACCAGTTCACAAATGACTTAGCAGAGGACCAGAAATGTTAAGTAACTTGCCCAAGGTCATATAATTGCAGTTCGGCCTAGAACACAAGATTTCCATCTTCCAGAGCCCTGCTCCAATTTATGTATGTATGTATATATGTATCTAATTTGAAAAAATACTAAACATTATAAAGTAAAAATTATTCATAATCCCATCACTTTAGAAAATAACCTGACAGGCCTAGAGAGGTTAGTGGTTAGAATTTTACATTAGGACCGAAAAGGCAAGGGGAATAGGGTGACCATTCATCCCTGTTTTCCTGGACCTGAGAGGTTTTCTGAGACATGAGACTTTAGTGCTAAAATTGAGAAAGTCCTGGACAAACTGGTTACTGTAATTAAGGGAGGGAGTTATTACTGGGAGCCAATGAGAGCTGTGGCCTTTAATAGATGTGGCAGGACAGCAGCAGAATGTAGCTGCTGATAAACCAAGGCTGGGCAGAAGAAGAACTGGGGGTGGAGAGGTGAGGAGAAATGGATAATATGGATTTGGGGAATAAATAGTCCCTCCTTTCTCTTCTCCCACCTCTAGGCCGCTGGCTTAACCAGAGGGTAAAGGAGCTCAGGTTTGCAGTCTACTGAGGCCATTCTCCAGGGCACACAGCGAGACAGAGAAGGGCTGAGAATGGATCTGGAAGACCAAGCAGCCAATAACCACTGAGGCATCTACCATGTGCTAGACACTGTGCTGGTACTTTACCTGTTTTCTCCTTTACTCCTCAAATCCACTTTGAAAGGTAGAGATCATTAATCCCAGCACTTACTGATGAGGAGTCCTAGGCTCAGAGAAGTCAAGTCACTTCCTCTGTGTGTCTATTGTAACTATCAAAACTTACAGTCTGTTTTGTGCATCCACACTTCTCCAGATGCTGAGAATACAGAAGTAAAGGACTCAGTGTTTGAGTGTTTGCCTTCAAGGAGTTACCAGTCTAGAGAGCACCCATCTTCTGTCATTAATTTATTCAGCTTCTTCAAAAGAGTATTTTTTCAGAATCTGTTCTGTGCCAGGAATTCTTGTAAGAGCTGGGGGTGAATTAATGAACAAAACAGACAAAAATTCTTGTCTTCATAGAGCATACATTCTAGTGGGTAGAATGGGAACTCTCTATATATATATATAAAAGTATTAGTGTTCTCCTGGGTGATACGTATAATGGAGAAAATTAACAAAAGGTATAGGTGCTAGGTGAGCCAGGCGACAGTTTAGCTGGGTCTCCTACACTTCCAGGAAATGTTCCTTCTATTTCCAGGTAGTGTCTTATCATGGCTAGAATCTTTGAGCTAGAAAGCCCTGTGCCAGGCATGGTTCTAAGTTCTGTGCACATATTATCTCATTTATTTCTCCTATGATGTAGATTGCTTATGATTTTATTACAAACTGAGGCTTAAAAACTAACTTGCTCCAAAACATGCAGTGTGTTTGTATGAAACCATGTAGTCTAATTCTGGGAACTGTTCTCTCTCCATTTCCCATTTTCCACAATTGTTATTTCTGATCTTGGCCATTCACCCCAACTTTCTAACCCTCAAGGTGCCTCCTTTTTTTTTTTAAATCATACATGAAGTTCTATACCACAGAGGCCACCACGCAGAGGGACTCTCAGCAAAAAACTTCACCCTCTATCTTCCCTATTATCAAGATTCTTCTTCCCAATTACAATTAATCTTTTTCACCTGAGCCCTGGGCCATATCTCTTTTCAGTTTGGCAAGGGTCTCCCTCTGTAAGTTACCCTTTTATGGGAGTGAGTAGGTAAGTTTAAGGGAAAAAGGTGATTATCCTAGGGGAGATGCTATTGAGATCTAGCTACCTGCTTGGCAGGTGCCTATATAGGGCACTCTCAAATGGGGCAACTTTGAGTTCTCTGGGGGTTCCCTGCGGAGACCTGCATACTGAGATTTTCTCTGATATGTGCAACATACTCTCTGGCTGACCTTGTGGGCTCTCATTTGGCAGTGGCTTGAGGAAGTCACCCTTGAATTAACATCTTCCCCCTTTGCAGCCAAATGTCTAAAAAAACACCCCAAAAAACCTTTCTATCCTTGAAGTCTACTCTTTTCACCATTAATTAACCTTCAAACTTTTTTGCCTGATTTCTCTTACACCCTTACTGAAACTACTTTTGCGTAGCTCACCAAGAATCTTCTTGTTGAAAGAGGTTTAGCTAATCTCAGGTTACATTTTACAAAACATTAACCCAAATGAACCTTTAATTGTTAGAAAATGTGTAGTGTAAAGGTGTCTGGGACTAAGTAGGGATATTAGGGATACATTTAGGCTTGAATAGAGACCACTCTGCTCGTGTTACTGAAGTAAAATTTTCCTCATAATTGTTAACTTCCAAATGCGGGGATTTCCTGCAAAAGTTGTCATCATCTGAGTGTACAACCCAATCTGCTTCCATGTGGCATGCCTGTTTTTGAGGAAATTATTTATCACCTGCTCTGCATAATGGGTTGAGGCAAGATGCAAAAGCTCTTCTCAACATAGAACTGTGGAGATAGTTGTTTGCATGGACATAGAGCTTGCATTTGCTCATTAATCCATTAAGGGCTTCTGTGTCTTTCACGGCATCTGCAACCCCAAAGAAGATATCGTTTCCTGGTTGGCCTATGCTCATCAGCATCTGCAACGTGAACTCAGTGTTTTCAATGACGATGGTAACTAAGTTCCTTGGCAAAGATGCCAGGGTCCCAACCAGGAGCACAGGTGGGAGGCAGCTGGGGGAAATGAAGCTCATGGCATAGGACTATATGGTGTCCCTTATACTGGCAGTGTACCTAGTGATATACCCCCAAAACTTGCCAAATGTCTCAGAAAAGATATCCAGGATTTTTGTCATCCTAAAACAAAGTTACTGCTCTGTATTCGTGAAGCATACGTCTCAGCTCTCCCAGTGAGCATGCCACCCAGCCATTGAGAGAATGGTTTTCAGTGCAATAATTTTGGAGATTGATTGGTTCTTATTATTTTAATAGTTCTCTGAGATGACCAATGTCTTTGTGATACATTTTTTAACATTCTACAGTTTTGTGGATTGTGAAGACGTGGTTCTAAGAATTAAAAAAAAAAATCTTCAAGACTGACATCTTTTTTATCTTTCTGACTTAATATGAGCAGTGTCCCATAATCTGTTCTCAGCTTTGTAATTTTAAAAGCTCAGTTGCCCGACCCATGTTTTCAATGTTTATTAGGTTTTCAGAGCATCACCCTCATGGTAACCAAATTCACAAGACACTGATAGATAAAGTGAGTGCCTCCGCTGTCCTGTAAATGGGAATAAACATTTTTAGTTTCTCTTTTGTAGGCAGACCACTCTTTTCTGATTAATAAATGCTTCGTTGCAACAGGTCATAAATACAGGGCCTAAATTTCTTCTTTTAAATTATTTGATCACTCTACTCAGATTTGTCTTGGGCACTTTCAAATCTACATATTTGTAGCTACAAATTTATCGGTAATTTCTAGAATTACTTTAACATATTTTTCTCCTCCTTTGTATACAAATAATTTAAATCATGCTATTAAAATATATATGATTTAATAATAAGTCAAGAACACGAAAAATGTAGATTTGCAAAAAAAGGTAGACTGAGAAAAAAACAAATAGATCGTAGCTATTTAAGCTGCAAAATATTATTGGTTACTATAGTTGTGCGGAATATTTGACCCAAATTTTCTGGTGGTCAAAATGAAAAAGTGAACCTGGGCAGTCATATAGTTCTTAGTGTTCACAAATAATAAAAATAAGCACTTACTATGAGATAAATACTAAGCAGTAAATACTAAGTTCTAAGTGGTTTGTTTGTGTGTATATATATATATGTACATGTATATATGTGCATAGTTTGTGTATATATATATGTACATGTATATGTGTGTACATATCTACATGTATATAACTCTATATCTCAAATATATATGTGTGTATATATACGTATGTGTGTGTGTGTGTATATATATATATCTTACACATGGACCCCCTCCCCCAAACAACTGATTTTGCAAATGAATAATAAGAGAGGTGAAGTAGTTTGTCCAAGATCATACAGCTCAAAATTGGTGGATCCACATTTTGAACCCAAGCAGCCTGACCCCAGGGTCTTTGCTTTTCACCATTGTACTAGGCTGTTTCTAAAGGAACTCATCTCTGTTCCTGAGAGAAAGAAAAGCTTTTTCAAGTACTTAGTTCTGTCTTTTTATGTGTGGAACATTATATAGAGAACCCTGAAAGACGTAGTGAACCAAGTTCTTAACGAACTCTCTTTGCTGAAAGTTAAAGATTTAACATAAAAATGCACTTGACTAATGGCATCTATGTATGAATCTTTGTCAGTTTCACTAGCTTTTTGCATGTTCATGAAACGCTTCACTTTATTCTTATTAGAATACAAAATGTAAGCCCCGTGTACATGTGCTGTAATACTAGAGAGGAGGAGTAGGAGAAAGGGGGAAGGAAGAAAGGAAGGGCTGAATCTTCACAGAAATGCATACTAATATAAGGAAAGAAATAAAATAATCAGTCTCTGCCTATGAGATTTGACGTTATGAACTGAAAAGTTTAATGGTGGCCATCAATTGGTGCTTTAGCCTGGAGATATGGAATAAAAATGTCGATCTTAATAACAATTTTCATGACTTATTTGATGTTATGTTATAAAAAGTCTTTGAACCGTGACAAATATTCTATAATCTGTCCCAAGGAATTTTGTCCTTAGAATTTTTCAGGATTAAAATCAAAATCACTGAATGTGGAGAAATATACATTTTGACCAATATATTCTTAATGTCAGGTGCTTAGAATTTAGAAAATTTTAGGTCTATTTACACTTGATTAGCCCACAGGTGGCTTGCAAACATATGAAACAATTTACAATGGAGTTTATGTTATATAGCTTGAATTTTTAAAAACTGGCATTGAGAGACTTTTTACTGCTTGTTTGGGGACCCATTGTCCGATTTTCTGTATGACTGTACATTCACCTAATAGTAGGCTTCTACTTTAGACATTAGTCAAAATGGTTACAATTTTTATCTATTGATTTTTGGGGGAATCATTTCACTTTTGGAGAGGCTTATTTTTCCATCCTCACTGTGTGTATGTGATATATATATATAATGTATATAACTCCAATCTTAGAAGGTAGAAGACCTGGGGCGTATGAAATCTTTGACAGACGGCTCTGGCACAGGCACAGATTGTTGACTGCTGGGAATATTTAAGCTGGGAATAAATGAGGCAGAGGCAAGGACACTGTTGTGCTTCATTTTTTAATGCACTATTTTTTTTCTTTGGTTTTGTGACTAAATTTAAATGTGGGAGGATCTTGTGGGTGTATGTATATTCTACGTGGAAAAAAAGTTGTTTAATGGTGCTATGCAATTTTCATTTCTTCAGCCAGGTACATAGAAATTCACATGGTCTTAAGCTGCAAACATTACCTCATAAATGGAAATGTATCAACAAAATTCAGCCTACTCAAAGCAGGCTTTAGAATAACAGCTGCTGGTGCTCTGGCTCAAGAAGCAGGTGTGAGACCACCTACGATACCAGCTCAGAAAGCTTCCTGTCAGCATGAAAATGGGCATGGGCTTCCCCCAAGGTGCCAAATGATGCAGCAGATAGGGTAGCAACGTGAAGATACAATGTTAATATGGTTGACTTTTCACAAGCACGTGGGTTAGTGCCAGAGAAACAAAAATATTATAAAACAGCTACTCAAACCAAAGCGTTCAGCCTGCAGCTTAATATACCACGGCCCGTTTCTGAACAAGATTTATTTTTCTGTTTACGGATTGCCAGGCTATGAAAATCCCTGTGGATAGAGGTAGGGAGGAGATAGGGTTGCTCTAATCCATTGTAGGACAGTACTTTGCATGTGTTTTTACAATAAAGATCGTGTAATATAAACTGTATGTGGATGTGCTCCGGAGGGGACTGATTAAGAGTGGAAAACTGAGAGGGCCATCAAACATGGAGGAAACACTTCAGTCAGGGAGCTCTAAGGTTTTATTGCCTGAGAACTGTATCACCCACTGCCAAACAGGAAATGGCTCCACCCTACCTGCTCAAATGAAAGTTACAAAAGCAAACGTCAAGTGGAGAAATAATTAGGAAATCTTTGCCTAAAATGTAAAACCAGCATGAGCGCTCTCTGTTATCTTTCATGGAATAGTCCCCATTTGCAGTTCTGAGAGACAGGCAACATCAAGACATTTTGCACGCCCTTGTAAAATCTTGAGAATTTGGCTTGCATTTGCTTACACCCAGCTCTATTGGAAAGATTTTTTTTAACCACTGCATGCAATCACAATTTATCTTAATGTTCTGGTTGATTTCATAGTTTACTAAACGTCTAAGGTTTTATGATACAACTGAGTGTGGGCCAGGATTCAGTGTTGGAGAAAAGAGAGAGCTGGCTGACTGCTGCAGGAAGCTACAAGGAGATGAGTAGAAGAAACTTTTGCCTTTATGAATTTTATCTTGATTTGAAAGGTGCCTGGGTTTGAGAGGGCCACGTATGTTCTGAGTAAGGTTGTCTGTGCCAACTAATAGCATAGTGTGTGGTGAACTATGAGAGTCTTTATTATGTGGTTCTAAGGCATTTTCAACCCACTGCAATTTTTTTTCCGTGAAATTGATAACTGTGAATAAAATGTAATAGTTCAGTACTAAGGCAGCAACAATTACACTGATTAAAATTGAATCCCATTACATTTATTCTCTTTGGAGAGCCAGCATCCTCTGATAAAGGAGGGAATCAAGCAAGTTATGTGTCTAAACTATTCTTAGTTCAGCTTAGGCTGTTAAATCTAAATAGGAAAAGGTATGAGATAGATTATTGCAATTAGAAAATAGAAATCTAAAGAGATATTCTAAGATTTTTGTATATAGGAGAGACTTCAGAATGGCTCAATAAAACAGAAAGGATATCTATCTGTATAAGCAGGTGGAAAGGCCTCTTTATCAGATATTTAATTTTTTAATTAACAAAGTTAAGTTTTTTTAGAGAAGGTTTAAGTTAACAGCAAAATTGAGTGGAAAGTACAGAATTTCCCATATCCCTGCCCCATGCATGCATAGCCTCCCATATTATCATTACCCACCAGAGTGATACATTTGTTATAACTGATGAACCTACACTGACACATCATTATCAACCAAAGTCCATAGTTTACATTCATAGTTTACATTAGTCTTCACTCTTGGTGGTGTACATTCTGCAGGCTTTGACAAATGTATAATGACAGCTATCCACTATTATAGCACCATACAGAGTAGTTTCACTGCCCTAAAAATCCTCATGCCCTACCTGTTCATCCCTCCCTTTCCCCAATCCCTGGCAACAATTAATTTTTTTACTCCATAGTCTTGCCTTTTCTAGAATGTCATATAGTTGGAATCACTTAGTATGTAGCCTTTTCAGATTGGCTGCTTTCACTTAGTAATATGCATTTAAGTTAACTCTGTGTCTTTTCATGGCCTGATAGCTAATTTGTTTTTAGTGCTGAATAATATTCCATTGTCTGGATACAAGTATTTAATTTCAAGTTAGGATTCTGCTGAAGTGGAAGAAATAGAAAGGTGGTTTGTGCCATATGGGGCAGAAAATGGGCTAAATAAACAACTCTCTGCACGAGCGATGGCTGAAGGGATGAGATTGCACCATTGTTCTTGGCAGAACAGAGTTGGGTTTTCTATTATGAAGTACTCTGTCCATTCTGGGAGTTTCCTCATTGTCACAAGGGAATCCCGTTCAATTGAATTCTGTAAATGTTGGACAGTATGTGTTAGTGAAGACAGAGCTTTCTGTTCAACCACAGAACGCTGGATTCTCTGTGCTGCAGGACTGGATTTTCCGTGGACAGAGAACTTCTCATTCAAAGGAAATTTCCAGAAGTCAAGTTCCATTATGTGACGAAGTTGCATGTCATTAATGTGGCATCATACCCAAGAGTGTTGGCTTCTGTTTTGCCAAAAAGGGCAGTTCCATATTGGTAAATTTTAGCTTCTTTGCTTTGTTTGGTAAACTCATAAAGAAAACTTTATCTTCTTTAGAGTTAATAGTGAGAAAAGGAGAGAAGTTTTACATAAAAGACAAAGCAGGTGCAGAAGAGACATTTAGATTGGCATGAGGAAGTTAAGTTTGGGGGCTATTAAAAGAATCAATTAAATAACCATGGTGCATAATAAAGGTGATTAAAGAGCTGATTACTGCTTTTCCAATCCTGTTGGATTTAGTACAGTTGGCTTTAAACATGTTCCAGTTTAATGCTGAACGTCATGAGGGGACGTGTGGGTTTTGCAGTTTGTTAATGATGTGTTGCTAGCAGTTAGTTGAGTACTGACATGGAAGAGCTGGTATTGCTGACTCAACACAATAAACATTTGACTCATCATGACAGAGCCTCTTTTTGTGATGAAGGACACCATCTGCCAGAGAGAGTGCAAAAGATTGATTTACAGTCCCTATCCAAATGAATTCCAGATTCCCTCAAATTGCCTGCCCCTTTACAATGCCAGAATGAGCCCAATCTTGTCCCATCCCATGACCATCAGCACTGGAATGCTTTCACCCTGATATTTGATTCAATGCCCCCTTTCCAAATCCTCGGTCCATCAACGTGGCCTCTTTTGGTTTGAGCTGAAGAGTATGTTATATTTCATCATTGACTTCTATTAGGCATTGTAACCAGGGCATATAGAAATTCCCAGAATAGATCCTGCAAAAATATCATATGTATAAGCATGAAGAGAATCAAGGGTCAGTAAACAGCTCACATTGGATTAAAAGACAGATGAAGCTCTAATCATATATGCCAGGCACTCTAACACATATGCAGATACATAGATGAATAACGCACCACCCCTAAGCTTGAGGAGTTGTCATTTGAGTGTGGTAGAGAGTCATATAAATAAATGCTTACAGTATAGCCTGTTAGAGGCAACAGTATAAATATAAACATCAGAGTGATTAACTTTGTGGGGCACCATTGTGAGGTGTGTGTCATGGAAGGCTTCACTGAGTTCACTAGGTGGACAAGAGGAGGTGAGAAGGAGCATTCTAGGCAGAAAGAATTGCATGCCCAAGGCACAGAAATATGGCCATTTTAATAATTAGAAATTCATTATTGTTGGAAGATAGAGATGGGAGAGTGAAGGTAGGACAGATCAGTGGCTGGAGATCTAAACAGAAGAAACATTATGAGGCAGTTCTTATGCCATTGTTTAGGAGCCTGTGTTTATCTGTAGATACTGGTGGTGGCATTAAAGGATTTAGCAGAGGGACTGGGTTGCCCTGGTGTTGTAGATATTTGTGAACATCAGGGCAGGCGATTTCTTTAGAAGAGAAGATGGAATAGAGGAAGACCAGTTAGGAAGCTATCATATTTCAGGTGAGAGTTGGTCAAGAAGATTGAAGACAGAATGAAACAGAACAGAGAGGACAGAGTTAGTTGGGAAAGAGACAGAATTTGTAGATCTGGTTGAATGTGGGGGATGAGGGAAGAATCTGGCTGATTCTCAGCTTTCTGTCACAGGAAAAGAGTCACTACCACATTGAAGCCACAAGTGAGGTAGAGAATACTTGAGGACAAGCAGCATTCGTGAGTGTGTGTGGTGGGGTGCTAATTATGGCAGTGTTAAGGGTGAGTAATTCAAGGCTGAGCACTGTGAATTAGGAGTGCCCGTGGGACAGCAGGTGGCAGGTCTGTTAGGTGGTGGGATATGAGCATCTGGATTCCATGGTCAGGTTGGCATACTTCATAGGGACTCTCGCATCTAGGCATTTTGTTCTTGGGAAAAAAGATACCCTGAAACTTAATGTTATTTGATCCTACTTGTCAGAAGTTCAGCTTGGCAGGGTTCTAGTTTCTAAGATATCTGTTATTCCAAACAACATCCTAAATTTCCATTTCAGTTTCTCAGTGCTTATGGGTAAGACAAAAATCTGTTCCTAGCCTTGTTCCTTACCTTTTCTTCTTGCAGTGGAGAATGTTGATAGCACCTATTTTGAACCAAAAAGAGATATGTCCCTGTCTAATATTTCAACTCCATTTCATGGCTCTTTTTCTCTCTCTCTCTCATCATACTCTAGTCACTGTTTTAAATGCAATACCTTCCCTGTTTTATCTAACCTTCATGGCAACTGTGCTCTTAGCTTCAACAAATGCTTCTGCAACAAGTTCTTTTTAGCTCCATTTTAAAGATGAACAAATAGACTGATACAAGATAAGTGAATTTTCCATTGACAAACAGAGCTGGAATTTGTAGAACTGGAATTTGAACACAACTAATTCCAATGTCTCTGTTCTTAACCACTAACATATTGACATTTATATTTTTCATGACTTATTTAAATAAGTTAAAGCAAATTTTGCTGTATTCAATAATATTCATTTAACATTCCATGAAGTTTTAAAAAATAAACAAAGGAATACAACTCAACATAACTCTAGCACTTCTTTTCACCTAATTTATGATACAAAGGTCTATAACATACCTGTAAAAATGTCATTAGGCAGTCCAAGATAATGTATCGACTTATAAAAAAGGGTAAACTTTCATTTTTTGGCTTTTTAGCTGGAAACATCTTCATTTGCCAACCTTATCATGGGGATTCCAAAGAGCGGTGGTGGATTGTATTTGAAAGAACATGAGCTTGGCAACCTGGAATCTCCTGAGTCTGGTCTGGCTGTAGCTCCGTGTGTCTCCGTCTCAAACAAACAAACAACAACAACCAAAAAAACCCCACAACAACAAAAAAAGAGCTACTGCTATAAATTTCCCTGTAAATACTGCTTTAGGGGCATCACACAAATATTGATATATAATATCCTCATCTTCATTCAGTTGAAAATACTTTCTAATTTTTCTTTTGATTTCTTCTATGACCCATGGGTTATTTAGAAATGTGCTATTTAATTTCTTTTTTTTTAATTTTAAAAAACCCTATATACCTATGTAATAAACCTGCACATCCTGCAGGTTTGTTACATAGGTAAATGTGTGCCATGGTGGTTTGCTGCACCTATCAACCCATCACCTAGGTATTAAGCCCAGCGTGCATTAGCTATTTATCCTGATGCTCTCCCTCCTCCCGCCCTTCCCTGCAACAAGCCCCAGTGTGTGTTCTCCTCCCTGTGTCCATGTGTTCTCATTGTTCAGCTCCCACTTATAAGTCAGAACATGCCATGTTTGGTTTTCTATTTCTGTATTAGTTTGCTGAGGACAATGGCTTTGAGCTCCATCCATGTCTCTGCAAAGGATGTGCTCTCATTCCTTTTTATGGCTGCATAGTATTCCAAGGTATATATGTATCATGTTTTCTTTATCCAGTCTATCATTGATGGACATTTGGGTTGATTCCATATATTTCTGTTGTGAATATTGTTGCAATGAACATATGCATGCATGCATCTTTATAACAGAATGATTTCTCTTCCTTAGGGTATATAGCCAGTAATGTGATTACTGGGTCAAATAGTATTTCTGGTCTATGAGGAATCACCACACTGTCTTCCACATGGTTGAAATAATTTATATTCTCACCAACAGTGTAGAAGTGTTCCTTTTTTTTCCACAACCTCACCAGCATCTGTTGTTTCTTGACTTTCTAATAATCACCATTTTGACTGGCATGAGATGATATCACATTGTGGTTTTCATTTGCATTTCACTGATGATCAGTGATGATGAGCTTTTTTTTCATATGTTTGTTGGCCACATAAATGACTTCTTTTGAGAAGTGTCTGTTCATATCCTTCACCCATTTTATGATGGGGTTTTTTTATTTCTTGTAAATTTGTTTAAGTTCCTTATAAATTCTAGATAGTAGAACTTTGTCAGATGGATAGATTGTGAAATTTTTCTCCCATTCTGTAGGTTGTCTGTTCACTCTGATGATAGTTTCTTTTGCTGTGCAGGAGCTATTTAATTAGATCCAGTTTGTCCATTTTTGCTTTTGTTGCGATTGCTTTTCGTGTTTTGTCATGAAATCTTTGCCTGTGCCTATGTCCTGAATGGTATTGCCTAGGTTTTCTTCTAGGGTTTTTATAGTTTTGGGTTTTACATTTAAGTCTTTAATCCATCTTGAGCTAATTTTTGTGTAAGGTGTAAAGAAGGTGTTCAGTTTCAATTTTCTGCATCTGGCTAGCACCATTAGTTAAATGGGGAATCTTTTCCCCATTGCTTGTTTTTGTCAGGTTTGTCAAAGATCAGATGGCTGTAGATGTGCAGTCTTATTTCTGAGATGTCTATTCTGTTCCATTAATCTATGTGTTTGTTTTTGTACCAGCACTATACTGTTTTGACTACTATCGCCTTGTAGTATAGTTTGAAGTTGGGTAGCGTAATGCCTCCAGCTTTGTTCTTTTGCTTAGGATTGTCTTGGCTATTCAGGCTCTTTTTTGGTTGCATATGAAATTCAGCGTAGTTTTTTCTAATTCTGTGAAGAATGTCAATGGTAGTTTAATGGGAATAGCATTGAATCTATAGATTACTTTGGGCAGTATGGTCATTTTCACAATATTGATTCTTCCTATCTATGAGTATCAAATATTTTTCCATTTGTTTGTGTCCTCTCTGATTTCCCTGAGCAGTGATTTGTAGTTCTCCTTGAAGAGGTCCTTCGCTTCCCTCGTTGGCTGTAATCCTAGGTATTTTATTCTCTTTGTAGCAATTGTGAATGGGAGTTCATTTAAGATTTGGCTGTCTGCTTATCTATTGTTGGTGTATAGGAATACTTGTGATATTTGCACATTGATTTTGTATCTTGAGACTTTGCCAAAGTTGCTTATCAGCTTAAGAAGCTTTTGGGCTGAGACAATGGGGTTTTGTAGATATAGGATCATGTCATCTGCAGAGACAGTTTGACTTCCTGTCTTCCTATTTGAATACCCTTTATTTCTTTCTCTTGAAAGAAATATGTTGACTAGGGATGATTAGAGACAGGGTATCCTTGTCTTGTGCCAGTTTTCAAGGGGAATGCTTATAGCTTTTGGCTATTCAATATGATATGGGCTGTGTGTTTGTCATGAATGGCTGTTATTATTTGAGGTATCTTCCATCAACACCTAGTTTATTGAGAGTTTCTAACATGAAGGGATATTGACTTTTATTGAAGATCTTTTCTGTGTCTATTGAAATAATCATGTGGTTTTTGTTGTTTTGTTTATGTGATGAATTATGTTTATTGATTTGGGAATGTTGAACCAGCCTTGCGTCCCAGGGATGAAGCTGACGTGGTCATGGTGGGTAAGCTTTTTGATGTCCTGCTGGATTCGGTCTGCCAGTATTTTATTGAGAATTTTTGCATTGATTTTCATCAGGGATATTGGCCTAAAGTTTTCTGTTTTTGTTGTATCTCTGCCAGGTTTTGGTATCAGGATGATGCTGGCCTCATAAAATGAGTTAGGTAGGAGTACCTCCTTTTCAAGTGTTTGGAATAGTTTCAGAGAAAAAAGTGATACCAGCTCCTATTTGTACCTGTGGTAGAATTCAGCTGTAAATCCATCTGGTCCTGAGCCTTTTTTGGTTGGTAGGCTATTATTTACTGATTCAATTTCAGAACTTGTTATTGGTCTATTCAGGGATTCAACTTCTTCCTGGTTCAGTCTTGGGAGGGTGTGTGTGTCCAGGAATTTATTCATTTCTTCTAGATTTTCTAGTTTATTTGCATAGCGGTGTTTATAGTTTTCTTTGGTGGTTGTTGTATTTCTTGGGTTCAATGCTAATATCCCTTTTATCACTTTCTGTTGGTCTGTTTGATTTTTCTCTTCTTCTTTATTAACCTAGCTAGCAGTCTATTTTCTTAATTTTTTCACAAAAAAACCCAGCTCCTGGATTTGTTGATTTTTTTGAAGGGTTTTTTGTGTCTCTATATCCTTTAATTCTGCTCTGATCTTGGTTATTTCTTGTCTTCTGCTAGCTTTGGTGTTTGTTTGCTCTTGGTTCTCTAGTGCTTTTAGTTGTGATGTTAGGGTGTCAATTTGAGATTTTTCTAGCTTTTTGATTTGGGCATTTTGTGCTATAAATTTCCCTCTTAATACTGCTTTGACTGCATCCCAGAGATTCTGGTACATTGTCTCTTTGTTCTCATTGGTTTCAAAGAATTTCTTGATTTCTGCCTTAATTTCATTATTTACCCAGGAGTCATTCAGGAGCAGGTTCTTCAATTTCCATGTAGTTGTGTGGCTTTAAGTTTCTTTAATGTCAGGTTCTAATTTGATTGTGCTGTGGTCTGAAAGGCTGTTTGTTATGATTTCAGTTGTTTCACATTTGCTGAGGAGTGTTTTACTTCCAGTTATGTGATTGATTTTAGACTAAGTGCCATGTGGCACTGAGAAAAATGTATAATCTGTTGTTTTGGGGTGGAGAGTTCTGTAGATATCTATCAGGTTCATTTGACCCAGAGCTGAGTTACTCAAGTCCTGAATATCCTTGTTAATTTTCTGTCTCAATAATCTGTCTAATATTGACAGTGGGGTGTTAAAGTCTCCTAGTATTATTATGTGGGAGTCTAAGTCTTTTTGTAGGTCTCTAAGAACTTGTTTTATGAATCTGGGTGCTCCTGTATTGGGTGCATATATGTTTAGGATATTTAGCTCTTCTTGTTGAATTGAACCCTTTGCCATTATGTAATGCCCTTCTTTGTCTTTTTTGATCTTTGTGGTTTAAAGTATGTTTTGTCAGAAATTAGGATGGCAACCCCTGCTTTTTTTCTGCTTTCCATTTGCTTGGTAAATTTTCCTCCATCCCTTTATTTTGAGCCTATGTGTGTTTTTGCATGTGAGATGGGCCTCTTGAATACAGCACACTGATGGATCTTGACTCTTTATCCAGCTTGCTATTCTGTGTCTTTTAACTGGAGCATTTAGCCCATTTACATTTACAGTTAATATTGTTCTGTGTGAACTTGTTCCTGTCATCATGATGCTAGCTGGTTATTTTGCAGGCTTATTGATGTAGTTGCTTCATAGTGTCATTGGTCTTTCTACTTCAGTATGTTTTTGTGTGGCTGGTAATGGTTTTTCCTTTTCATATTTAGTGCTTCCTTCAGGATATCTTGCAAAGCAGGTCTAATGGTGACAAATTCCAACCATTTGCTTGTCTGTAAAGGATTTTATTTCTTCTTTGCTTATGAAGCTTATTTTGGCTGGATATGAAGTTCTGGGTTGGAAATTCTTTTTTTAAAGAATGTTGAATATTGGCCGCAACTCTCTTCTGGCTTATAGGGTTTCTGCTGAGAGGTCCACTGAAGTGCTTCCCTTTGTAGGTGATCTGGCCTTTCTGCCTAGCTGCCCTTAACCGTTTTTCCTTCATTTCAACCTTGGAGAATCTGATAATTATGTGTCTTGGATTGATCTTCTCATGAAGTGCCTTACTTGGTTTCTTTGAATTTCCTGTATTTGAATGTCGACTTTTCTTACTAGTTTGGGGAAGCTCTCCTGGATGATATCCTGAAGTATTTTTTCCAACTTGGCTCCATTCTCCCTCTTTCAGGTACCCCAATCAGTCGTAGGTGTGACCTTTTTACGTAATCCCATAGTTCTTGAAGGTTTTGTTCATTCCTTTTCATTCTTTTTTCCCTAATCTTGTCTCGCTGTCTTATTTCAGCAAGGAAGTCTTCAAGCTCCGAAATTATTTCCTCTGCTTGGTCTATTCAGCTATTGATACTTGTGGTTGCATTGTGAACTTCTTGTGTTTTGCTTTTCAGCCCCATGAGGTCATTTATATTCCTCTATAAACTGGTTATTCTGGTTAACAGCTCCTGTAATGTTATATCATGGTTCTTAGCTTCTTTGCATTGGGTTAGAACATGCTCCTTTGGCTCGGCAAAGTTCATTATTACCCACCTTCTGAAACCTACTTCTGTCAGTTTAACATCTCAGTTTCTACCCAGTTCTGTTCCCTTGCTGGAGAGGTGTTGTGATCATTTGGAGGAGAAGAGGCACTCTGGCTTTTTGAGTTTTTGCATTTTTTTCTTTATTCTTTTTCATCTTTGTGAGATTATCTAGCTTCAATAGATAACCTTCAATTGAGGCTACTGACCTTCCGGTGGGGTTTTTGTAGGGACGTTTTTGTTGATTCTGTTGTTGTTGTTGTTTTGTTTGTTTGTTTTTTAATAGTCAGGCCCCTTAGGCCTGCTCTGATTTGCTAGGTGTTCACTCCAGACCCTATTTGCCTAGGTCCCTTCTGCACCTGGGGGTTTCACCAGTGGAGGCTGCAGAACAGCCAAGATGGCTGCCTGCTCCTTCCTCTGGGAGCTCTGTCCCAGAGGGATACCAACCTGACGCCAGTGGGAAAGCTCTTGTATAAGGTGTGTGGCAGCCCCTATTGGGTTGTCTCATCTAGTCAGGAGGCATAGGATCAGGGACCTGCCTAAGGAAGCTCTCTGGCTGCCCCTGGCAGAGGGGGTGAGTTGTGCTGAGGGGAATCTCACTTGTCCAGAGTGCCTAAATTCCTCAGAGCCAGTAGTGGGAAAGACTAAGTCTGCTGATCCGTGGAGACCGCAGCTGTCCCTCCACCCCAGGGCTCAATCCCAGGGAGATCAGAATTCTGTCCCTAATTTCTTATCAGTGGGGATTTCCCACATAATTTTCATGCTGTTGATTTCTAATTTAATTCCACTGTAGTCAGAGGATATAATTTGTGTGAATTAAAAACCTCTTAAATTTATTGAGACTTGTTTTATGGCCCAGAATTTGGTCTATTTTGGAAAATGCTCCTGTGCACTTGATAAGAATGATATTGTTGCCTGAAGTGTTCTATAAATATCAATTAGATCAAGTTTGTTGATAGTGTTATGTCTTCTGCAACATTACTGATTTTCTATCTACTTGTTTTTATAAATTGTTGAGAAATGTGTATCGAAATCTTTCTAATCATGAATTGGTTTCTTTCTCCTTGCAGTTCTATCAGTTTTTGCTTCATGCTGCAGCTCTGTTATTGGTACATAAATGTTTATACACGACTTGATGAATTGACCCATTTATTTATTTTATGTTTTATTTTATTTTTGAGATAGTGTCTCACTCCATCACCCAGGCTAGAGTGCAGTGATGCAATCTAGCTCACTGCAGCTGTGAACTCCCAGGCTCAGGTGATTCTCCCACCACAGCCTCCCGAGTAGCTGGGACTACAGGAATGTGTCATCACACCTGGCTTTTTTTTTTTGTATTTTTTTGCAGAGACATGCCATGTTCCTTAGGCTAGTCTTGGATTCCAGCCCATCTTGGCCTCCCAAAGGTCTGGGATTACAGGTGTGAGCCACTACACCTGGCCTGACCTATTTTTTATTATGAAACAATTTCTTTATCCCTAGTACTATTCTTTACTTTGAAATCTGTTTTGAATAATGTGAATATAGCAACTCTAACATTTTTTGTGTGTCAGGAGTTTCCAGTTTTTTATTCTTAACCTGTCTGTGTCATTAAGTTTAAAGTGCACTTTTTTGTAGGCACATAAAACTCGGTCTTTTTTGTTTGCTTGTTTAAGCTGACAATCTCTAACCTTGAATTGGGATATTCAGACCATTTACATTTGATGTTTTTCTTGATATGATTAGGTTTAAATCTATCTCCTTGCTACTTGTCTCATCTATTCTTTATTACTTTTGTTCTCTTTTTATGCCTTCTTTTGAATAAATTAAATATTTTAAAAGATATCTTTTTATCTCATTTGCTGGCTTATTTATAACTCTTTATTATTTCAGTGGTTTTTTTCTCATAGTCTGTCTTCAAATGATATTAAACCACTTTATAAATTATAGAAGACCCTTTCAATAGTTTACTTTCATTTATCCCTTTCCAACCTTTGTGATATTTTTGTCAGATATTTTATTTTTCTATATTTTACATTATTATTATTTTTTATTGACTATCATCCATCTTTTAAAAAGATTTAAATAATAATAAAAAATCTTATATATTTACCCTGTAGTTATTGTACCCAATGCTTTTCATTCCTTTATATAGATCCATATTTCCATCTGTTATCATTTTTCTTATGCCAAATGGATTTCCTTTAACATTTCTTGTGGTGTAGATTGCCAGGTGACACATTCTTTCAGCTTTTATGTGTCTGAAAATGTCTGAAAAAGCACCTTTGTTTTTGAAAGACACTTATAGAATTCCAAATGGGCAGTTTTTTTTTTCTTTCAGTACTTTAAAGATGTTGCTATATTCTTTTCTCACTATTATCTCTGTATTACTTCTGATGAGAAATCTGCTGTCATCCTTTGTTCCTCCTTAGGTAATTTATCTTTTTATTGGTTGCTTTTAAGGTTTTTTTTTCTTTACTACTGATGCTTAGCAGGGAAGCATGCTGGGACCTTAATGTACTGGTCACTCTGGACCAAGGAAACATGGAATGGCTCTGTATATTGGGATATGGGTTGTAGAATCTAGACTGCTCTGGAAAGTGGCTGGCCAGGGTTCCCTCTGGAGGGCAGGGGCCTCAAGTCAGGAGTCTAGTGGTATAGAGTGGGCCATATGACCAAGGGTGGAGCAAACACCGAATCAAGACATCTCTGGTTCTGGCATCATGATTCATTCTAGGACTCTGGGGTTGATGACTGAGTCATAGGGTAGGAAGAGCCTATGGCTGAACCTAAAGAAGGAGGAATCAGAGATCCTATTGGAAGTGCCAGGAGATGGCAGACCTCAAAATGACCGAAAGGAAAAGCAAAGCAAAATAATGGAAGTGTTAAAGGGAAATTGAAGATCTAATTCTAAGTTTCTAACTATACAAAGAAAACATTTAGATTTCAATATTTTTCTCTGTGTGTGTGTCTGGGTGTGTGTAGATTTGCCTGGTAGAATTCCAACATTTTCAAAGTTGCCCTTTCCAAGGGTACAAAAAATGAGAAACACTTTGTATAAAGTAACTAACTTATAAAATGTTTTTGGAAAATATTATTTAATCATACAGATTATTAATAGTGTTTTTAAGAAGTAGTTTTGTATTAGAGTTTTGGAATAGTATCAGGAAGTAAAAAAGTCCAAACAACTTTTACTATTCTCATTTAATTTATTAATTTTTTTAAGGCAACTTGCATTTGATGTAATTTTGTTTTGCCTTCCTATTGTTTGCCTCTTGCTCTGTAAGGACAAGTTCCTACTGCCTACAGCTATCTTTGCAAACAGGGCACTCCTCTAAAAGCTTTTATTTAATCTAGTTAAGTAAATTCTAATCATCTTTAAGCAGGGACAAGTCCAAAGTCACCACATGAAGAATAATTCATAATAGTTTTTTCAGCAACAACTTTCTCTTTTTCTTGCCAAGCTAGTCAGCAGTCTGGCAGTTTGGTTTTTGCAATGAATCAGAATATATGTGCCAGGCCATTTGCACCATCTGCTACAGGAGTGTCATGGGAGAGAGGACTGTGAACACCTGGTGGGTGGACATTAAAATGTCAGCTCCAGGGTAAACACCAGCTTCAGTGATGAAAGACCAAGAGAGCAAAAGCCGGGGAGGAGGAGAAGCTGCTGGTAGCAGCAAAACAGGCACACCTCTTTCTTAATTCAGAAGAATGTGTGTATGTGTGTATGTTTGTATGAATGTATGTATGTGTATATGTATGCATGCATGCATGCATTTATTTTTAGTATCAGTAACTTTTCAGAATCTTAATGACAGGATGAGGTTAAATTCCTTGGTGAATTAGTCTGCTCTCATGCTGCTAATGAAGACATACCTAAGATTGGGTAACTTATAAAGGAAAGAGGTTTAATTGACTCACAGTTCCACATGGCTGAGGAGGCCTCAGAGTCATGTCAGAAGGCGAAGGAAGAGCAAAGTCACATCTTACATGGCAGCAGGCAAGAGAGCATGTGCAGGGGAACTGTTCTTTATAAAAACCATCAGATCTTGTGAGACTTATTCACTATCACGAGAACAGCACAGGAAAGACCCACTGCCGTGATTCAATTACCTCCAACCAGGTCCCTCCCATGACACGTGGGAATTATGGGAGCTACAATTCAAGATGAGATTTGGGTGGGGATACAGCCAAATCATATCACTGGAAAGGTAAAGAATGTTTGGGTGATAGTACACATGTAAGTTCTGGTAAAGGAATTTGATGCTATTTGTTGAAAGAACTGTAAAACATGAATATATTTATGTTGTCTAAAAGTGGCCTGAAGTGAGATCTTCAAGATCATTCTTTGCCATAGGTTCAGAAAAGCTTTTTTTATTCTTCTTACGGCATATAGATAGAATACAATTGATTTTGGTTTATTTTTTGTTAAGAAACTATTTGATAAGGAAATATTCAATATCACCCCAATTTTTCAGGTGGTCAAAATATCCACTTGTTGAAACCAGCCTAGGCGAACTTAAGGACATTGGTTTTGAGTAATGTAAAACACCTGGGGATAATGGGAGAGACTTTGTGAGCCATTTCTCAGTTATAGCCTCTTGAAGCTGGTTCATTACTGTGACAGTTCCCTGCAGAAATAAAAATAATTGTGGTATCCAGCTTAAAAGTACACACAGAGATGTTCATGCCCCCACCCACACATTCAAGCACAAACACACATCCTTTCCTTCTCACTGGTGTTACAAAGGAGTAAAGATCATCAGTATCATTTAATTATGACCTTATTTGAGTTCAAAGTTGTATAGTCAGTGTAGAGCCAATTTTCAAGCCCAGGTCTGCCCGGCCCCATGCATATAGCCCATGCTGCATGCATGCATGCATTCATGCTCCACCATGCAGCCTTGTAAGATTGTTGTTCATTAGTTCCAACTTGCCCTAGGAGGTCCTGTAGTAGAATGTAGTTGACCTCACTGGCATCAATTTAAAAAGTCCAGACCCAATTCCAAGCATTTCCAACTTTCTATAAGTGTAAACTTATTGTAATAAACATAAATGTAAATCATTTTTCCTAGCTGCTGTGCAGTTATAATTTTAGTATACATCTAAAATTTATATCTCTAATTTCTCTGTGTCTACTCTCTCATCTCTCTCAAATCTGCATTCATTTTCACTGTCCTTGTCTTAGTTCAGGCATATACAATTTTACACAGGGAACTTCTCAACTTACCAACAGGCTTTTCTCCTTCTCCTTACTATGACACACAAGACAGTTTATGATGTGACCTTTTAAACCTTTCTTTCTTCCAGGCATCCTGAACTACCTTCTGTTTTTACTAAATGTAAAATATACAAGATTGTGTTGTGTTCCTTGATGCTTGTCTTTTCTCTGCCCTAAGCCTTTTATCTAATCTGCCTGATGAACTCAATCCTCAGACTCAGCTCAAAGTTTTCCACTTGCATGAGTCCTTTCCTGATTGTTTCAGGCTTTCCCCCTTGCTTTCTTAGCATCTTGTTTATCCTAATTATATTGCTCTAATTATTTATTAATTGCCATTGGACTCTGCTGCATTGTGTGCACTGGGAAGCCAGGGCCTGAGTTATATTCATTTTTGTAGCCCTAGAACCTAGCACAATGCTTGGCAGATAAGGGGTACTTAAGGAGAATTTTTTGAGTTCATTGTTCCTGAATGCCATCTGAAACCTTCAGGAAATATTGTTGGTGTTTTGGGAAAGTATTTTATTGAGTATCTGTATTGTGACTTTAGGAGGGACATTAAGCACAACTGGGAGCTACTGAAAGGAACTTGACAAATTTAACAAAATGCCTTGGAATTGGGCATAATTCAGTTCCCCAACTCCGATCCTCAATGGACCAGAAGCTTAAACTGCCAAATACATGCAGATGATTCCCATCTTTAACTACTACCCCCAAAGCTCTTTGGATGGAGCCCCAGACCAGGAACAAGAGTATCTATTAAACATGCCTGCTTGCATACCTCCCAGAACCTCTAAATCCCTCCTTGACTCCTCCCTCAGAGAAGACCTAGATCTGCAAACTACAACCTGGAAGTTATTCTGGAATACCTCCTTTCCCTTCATTCTCCCACATGCAACAGTCACCAAGTCCAGCTAATGCTCCTTTCTTGATAATACTGCAAATCTGTTCTTCTTGCTCCAGTTTCATGCCTCCTCTCCCCTATCATGGGGCTCCATTCTATTCTTTTCAGATTACTAAAAAATGCTCTGGTTTGTTTTGTCTCCCCGCTTCATCTGCTCTTTACAATGGAGTTGGGTGGTTTTTTGAAAAGCAAATCTGATCATGCATGAGTCCTACAGGAAGATGCCGTGGCTCTTCGCCACCCTCAGAACTGAGTCTGAATGCCCACACCCTTCACCATCGGGTACCTGCTTCCTTCTCCAGGGAGCTGGACTCCCTGTCCCTTCCCCCCAGTGCTTCAGCCATATTGAATTACTTGTATTTTCCCTAAAAATGACTTTCTTTTGCCTTCAGGTTTTTTGAACATAAAGTTCCCCTTTTCTAGAACTTCCTACCTACCTCCTCATTCCTGCCTTCAACTTCCTGTTCATCTTTCAGACCCTAACTTAAACATTCTCTTTTGGAAGAATTTGTTTATTCTCCAAAACTGGGTTAACTGCTCTTCTAAGTGCCCCATGAATGCATCTGTTATAAGTCTTACCGCAAGCATTTGTGATTATCTGTTTTATGTTTGTCTTCCTCAGTAGACTGTGAACTCCATAGGAACAAGGGAAAATCTTATTATTTTTAATCCTGGTTTCTAACACAATGTCTGAACACAGAAATTTCTCAGGAAGTCTTTGTTGACTAAACACATAATTGTCAATACTCAGCCACATAAATATACAGTACTGGGCAATTTGCAAATATTTTGAAGATCTGCTCAGGCAAACCTCTTCATAATCAATACAACCTTGAATTTGTTTCTACCCAGCCATTTAGTTTTTAAAAATTCCCACCTACTTCCCCCTCAGATCTTTATCTATTTGTTGACGAAGGATGAAGGAGCCAGTCCAGCTCCTTAGGAGTGGGAAGGGTCTGGGGTTTGCAGCCCAGACCTGCAGTACACATTTAAGGGTATGCATTGTCCTGGCCTCTGCCAATTAAAATAATGGCAAAGGAGAAGTGAAACTAGGAGAGAATTAGTATATCTTCTTTTGCCAGGAACAAATTGTAAATGTAAGACAAAAACAATTATTTAAGTAGAAAATATTTTGACTTTGACTAATAAAATGTCAGAGTAAAGTTTGTATAGGCAGAAAAGTAACGCTCACCTTCTTGCCTTTGGTAACTATAGAGGGCAAAATTTACATGATTGCAATACATACATGGATAACCTCATTTAAAAGGTGTTGAAAATCAGCTATCATTATATACACTTGACCTCATTTGCCCAGTTGCAAGTCTAGGTGCAATGGTGCAATTCATGAGAGTTTTTGGGAAGCTAGTTAAAGAACACATACTATACATTTGCACACATGTACACGTACAAATTAACTGTAACAATTAGTCTGTTGCAAAGATACTTTTTAAAGTTCTGTTTAATGCTTTTTTAATTTTTTTCTCTTACCCTTACCATATGAAGAATATTTTTAAGTTCTAAAAAAGTAAGTATACTATGTTTAAAAATTTATATCCATAGTAGGCTTAGAAAAGTCAGTTGCTAAAAATGTAGGAAAATGTTTATCATCCCAGAATTTGTTGACATGATAGTGGTAAATCTTTCAGAAAACATCACTGTTGTGTGTGTGAGGTCAGTTGTTTTTGGCCAGCTGGGTGATTTGTTATTTCCTGTGTGTATTTCTTGTCACTTTACCTCTATCGTGACTTCCTGGTTCATTCATTCAATACTGTTCATATTTAGCACATAAGTTCCATGTACTGCATTATAGCCCCTGGGTGTAAATAGTTGCCTGTGATGGAGAGGCTGCCTATGAGGAGTACCCAGACTCATGGTTGCAGACAGTAGGTGTGGGATAGGCAAAGCACACACGTGTTAAGGTTTATGGGATGTCAGGAGAAGGGCAGGTATTTTGTAAAGGGAGGGGAGTAAGATGTATGGAGAGGGAATGACTGAAGATGACGCTACCAAGGTGGACTGTTTCCAGATCATGGAAAACTAACTTCAAGACATTATTACCATACTCTATTTATTCCTGTGAACTTTTAACATTAACATCTTAATTCAATCAAAACATTATATGTAAATTTATATTTACTACACAGTTTTCTTCAATCATTCATTTGTCAAACATGAAGATTGTTCTTCCTATGTGTTTGACTTTACCAAAAACTTTGTCAACCTTCTTGATATGGTTTGGCTGTGTCCCCACGCAAATCTCATCTTGAATTATATTCCCATAATTGCCTCGTGTTGTGGGAGGGACCCTGTGGGAGATAATTTGAATCATGGGGGCAGTTTTCCCCATACTGTTTTCGTGGTGGTGAATATGTCTCATGAGATCAGATGGATTTATCAGGGGTTTCCACTTTTGCATTGGCCTAATTTTCTCTTGCTACTGCCATGTAAGAAGTGTCTTTCACCTCCTGCCATGATTCTGAGGCCTCCCCCACCACGTGGAACTGTAAGTTCAATTAAATCTCTTTTTCTTCCCAGTCTCTTATATGTCTCTATCATACGGACTAATACAGTAAGTTGGTACCTGTAGAGTGGGGTGTTGCTGAAAAGATACCTGAAAATTGTGGAAGTGAATTTGGAACTAGGTGACAGAGATTGGAACAGTTTGGGGGGCTCAGAAGAAGACAGGAAAATGTGGGAAAGTTTGGAACTTCCTAGAGGCTTGTTGAATGGTTTTGACCAAAAGCCCAATAGCAATATGGACAATAAGGTCCAGACTGAGAGGTGGTCTCAGATGGAGATGAGGAACCTGTTGGGAACTGGAGCAAAGGTGACCCTGGTTATGTTTTAGCAAAGAGACTGGCAGCATTTTGCCCCTGCCCTAGAGATCTGTGGAACTTTGAACTTGAGAGAGATGATTTAGGGTATCTGGCGGAAGAAATTTCTAAGAAGCAAAGCATTCAAGAGGTGACTTGGGTGCTGTTATAGGCATTAAGTTTTATAAGGGAAGGAGAGCATAAAAGTTCAGAAAATTTGCAGCCTGACAATGTGGTAGAAAAGAAAAACCCATTTGCTGAGGAGAAATTCAAGCCAGCTGCAGAAATTTGCATAAGTAACAAGGAGCCAAATATTAATTGCCAAGACAATGGGGAAAATGTCTCCAGGGCATGTCAGAGGTCTTCACAGCAACCCCTCCCATCACAGGCTCAGAGACCTAGGAGGAAATGGTTTCATGGGCCAGGCCCCAGGTCCCTGTGCTGTGTGCAGCCTAGAGACTTGGTGCCCTGTGTCCCAGCTGTTCCAGCCATGGGTAAAAGGGGCCAATGTAGAGCTCAGGCCATGGCTTCAGAGGGTGCAAGCTCCAAGCCTTGGCAGCTTCCACATGGTGCAGAGCCTGCAAGTGCACAGAAGTCAAGAATCAGGGTTTGGGAACCTCTGCCTAGATTTCAGAAGATATATGGAAACACCTGGATGCCCAGGCAGAAGTTTGCTGCAGGGGTGGGGCGCTCACGGAGAACCTCTGCTGGGGCAGTGTGGAAGGGAAATGTGGTGTTGAAGCCCCCCAACAGAGTCCCTACTGGGGCAGTGCCTAGTGGAACTGTGAGAAGAGGGCCACCGTCCTCCAGGCCCAGAATGGTAGATCCACTGACAGCTGGCACCATTCCCCTGAAAAAGCCACAGACACTTAATGCCAGCCCTTGAAAGCAGCTGAGAGGAAGGCTGTGCCCTGCAAAGCCACAGGGATGGAGCTGTCCAAGACCATGGGAACCCACCTGTTGTATCAGCATGACCTGGATGTGAGACCTGGAGTCAAAGGAGATCATTTTGGAGCTTTAAAAGTTGACAGCCCCACTGCATTTTGGACTTGCATGGGCCCTGTAACCCCTTTGTTTTGTCCAATTTCTCCCATTTGGAATGGCTGTATTTACTCAATACCTGTACCCCCATTGTATCTAGGAAGTAACTAGCTTGCTTTTGATTTTACAGGCTCATATGTGGAAGAGACTTGTCTCAGATGAGACTTTGGACTGTGGACTTTTGGGTTAGTGCTGAAATGAGTTAAGACTTTGGGAGACTGTTGGGAATGCATGATTGGTTTTGAAATGTGAGGACATGAGATTTGGAGGGGCCAGGGGTGGAATAATATGGTTTGGCTCTGTGTGCCCACCCAAATCTCATCTTGAATTGTACTCCCATAATTCCCATGTGTTGTGGGAGGGACCTGGTGGGAGATAATTGGAATCATGGGGGCAGTTTTCCCTATACTGTTCTCATGGTAGTGAATAAGTCTCACAAGATCTGATGGTTTTATCATGGGTTTCTGCTTTTGCACCTGTCTCATTTTCTCTTGCCGCCACCATGTAAGAAGTGCCTTTTGCCTCCTGCCATGATTCTGAGGCCTCACCAGCCACGTGGAACTGTAAGTTCAATTAAATTTCTTTTTTTTCTCAGTCTCTGGTATGTCTTTATCAGCAGTGTGAAAATGGACTAATACAATTCCCTTATTTTGAACAAAACATTGCAGTCTTCTTTCCCTCTCTACATCACAAACTTGGTTCTTATTCCACCGAGACAACTATTTTAAACGGTTTAAACTGTTTCTTTTGGTGTTTTCTTCCATGTTTCTAGATAACATACATCACCATTTATTGATATTATCCATTGAATTACTGCTATGATATAGATATAGAATTATTTTTGGTTAGATCGATATTCAGTATTATGAATTCACATTATTAGGATCATGCAAATATAACTCACGGATGAGGCATATAGGATTCTATGGTAAGTTTTGCTTTTTCCTTAAAAAGGTTTTGTCCTTTCTGGACATTATACGTGTCTTCTCTGATACCTGCTTCTTTTTCTATGTACTCATCCCTAATTGTTCCCCAAAATCTTTATCAGAAGTGTTAGTATTCTCTTAATACATCCACTACATCGGGAATCCCATCAGCTTCTCCTTTTGGAAGATGCCCCTACTGGAGCACTCTTCCGCTCTGATCTGAGGCTTTTGCTCTCCAGGCCTGCTGCCCAGTGGTTGCCGTAAAATTTCCCCTGGGCCACCATTCTGGGGTTCCTCCCACTATTCTCCTGGGTTGGGTTCCCTGTTTCCTGGATACTGTGTAGTCCTTTCTTGGTCTCCTCTCTTGTTTTGGCAGGACATATCGCTTCAGTAGCTTCTACAGAAATTACATACATGAAACTTTAAGGTTGTACTCTTTGAAAAGTATCCTGTTTGAGGTAGAGCATGTTTAGCCAGTTCCTGCATCAGTTGAGTCGGCTGGGTTTTTTGTTTGCTTGTTTTTTACCAGGTCACTGTGGTAGGTTGAGACATGGCACTCAGCAAAATAAGGAATATTCTCAAGTGAAATTGTGAGGAGGGTGACTCTTTTCCTACCCAGCAAGTGGAGTTTGGAGGCCATGCTACTTCCTGAGGCAGGAAAGGGGTTACAGGTAATCCACTTGTAAAACAATGGGTCAGGATTTTTTTCTCAGAAGAGAGTGGCTCTTAGCAGAATCTTAGATGGGGACCCAGTAGGAGTTCCATGAGATGACAGTGCATGAGGTAGAGGTGAAGCTCTTGTGATGTAGCCATTGGAGACTCAGTCCTTCTTCCTTAAGAAGGTGGGGAAAAGCTTAGAGAAACCAACCTCAGCTGTGCCCCTAAAGCTTTTTGAGAGAAACTTACACCCATTATATGTAGGAGAAACGGGCCTCTTATTGTCCTGAGGTTTTCCAATGTGGATCATGAGAAAAAAAGGTAGCTGGTAGGAGCACATTAGATTATGTTTTTAGAAGTTCTATTTGTGATAACTTCCACTTTGGGAAGCTTATCCTCATCCTTTAGAATAGGGGAAGAAGGGTACTTTAAGAATCTGCTGAGAAGAAGACGATAAACCTGGAAAGAAATATATTAGAAGAAGGTGAGATTTGTAAGTGGTGCAAACAGCATGACCAAGGGCCATCTACTTTGCTTTCTCCTGTGCAGAGTTTCAACATCACCTGCCTCCTCATAAGGCAAGTCTCAGGGACGTTAGACAGGCAACTAACTTGCCCAAAATTCACAGGTTGTATATGTCAGAGGTCACAGATTTGAAAATACGGTTTCCCATTTCATTAATTAATAAGTTATGTATTTATTTTGATTTTTAATATCCAGCCTTACGAAGGCTAGAAAATCCATTAGGGGCACCAGAAAGGCATTTTTTGTATAGGTGTACGTGTGGGAGGCTGGCTAGAGGATGGAAAGGAGGATGAGGAAGAAGCGTTCAGTTGTCCCTAATTATGGTGGTTTGGGTCCTTCCCATGCTACCATAATTAGGGACGTTTGAGGACTTGAGCGTTTTTATAATGAACTTGAAGTTCATTATAAACATATGCTAAAGCCAGGAAACAATATAAAGTTTTTTTAAAAATGAGGAAAAATAAAAAGGGAAGTTGGTTAAGTGGAGGTTAAAATTTAAAAAGAGGGGAAAAGGTAAGCTAAAAGGGAATGACATGAAAGCTAAAATAAATTTAAAATCTGCATGAAGATAAAAGGTTAAGAGTTAAAAAATACAAAATAAATGAGATTTTAAAACAAAAGATAAAATACTGTAAGCCAATGAGATAAAAGGTTAAAACATCAGTAAAAGCTATAATGGTTTAGGCTAAAAGGCTAAAGCCTGTGAGATGAAAAGCTAAAAACAGACCAATCCTTGAGATTAAGGATTTGGAACAGGAAGTCAGAACTAAAAAGGCAACGGAAGAAAAATAAAAATTAAGTTAAAACTGTAAGAAAAAAGTGGATTAGGGAAACCATTATTTTTTAAAAACATTAACAGAAAAACAAAACTATTTAGAGGAGTAGAGTAGGAGGCAACATTATCAGGGCAGTGTGACGTTCCCTGTGGGAGAGACTGGGTGGAGGCCATGTTGACTGTGCCTTCTGCATACGGTGTCCACAGGAGAAGGGCAGGGGCTGTCAACCCAGGCAGCTGCAGGGGTGGGCCTGACCTCAGAAACATCTTCTCCTTCTATTAAAAAAATATATGTATCTCACTTTTTCTCCCATCTTCCACTGCTTCTGTGACTCCCTTGCCTCAGCCTTCTGAATCGCCTCTGGGACTTTTGAATTTGTTTGAATCGGTTTGAATTGGTTGCTGCCCTAAGTCTGTTCCCTTCCAATCTTTCCCCACACTGCAACCAGATTAATCTTTTGAGAACACAATTTTTCTCATGCAATTATATTCTATGAAAGCCTTCTGTGCTTATTTTAAAGACCAAACTCCAAGAAGCTCTGCAAATCCAGCTTTTGTGCAGTTTATTTTTTTTTCAAGTAAGAGATCTTTGTTTGCTCCTTCATTGAGCCTTGTTTACTACATTACTTATGTGAACCCCTAAGATACCTGGAGCTTATTTTGAGGTTGGGAGTTGGAATTATTTCAGGGAAAAAAGAAGGAATTCTTAGTTCTATTCTGGAAAAGTCAAAGGAAATTGATATTGATTTTGTTTCAGCTTTTGGTTCTCACAGAAAATTAGAGAGTGGGACAGAGAGAATGAGCAAGGTAGAATTCATGTTCATGTGCTCCTGGGAAAATTAGATTTTTTAAAGGAATTAATACTAGAGCTCCCTTCTTAGCTATTCCCCAGAATGACTTTCTTTCCTGAGTTTAAGGATATATTACCTTAAAAAATGCTTCCTGAGCGCTTCTCTACTCAGTTCTGAAAATAATGAAAATTCAGCTCCTTTCAGTGTTTGAAGGAAAAAAAAAGATTTGGGAAAGAAAACTAACCATATTTAAGATTATCCCAATGAGTTTTCTGCCAAAACACCAGATGCTACTGGAAAAAAAAGATAGCTGCCACAATTTGCTGTCTGGGAACTGTGCCCGCCTGTTTAACAGGGAGAAGGAAAGCGATGTAGAAGAATGAGGTAAATGGCAATCCTACTGCAAATAAACAGTGCTTTTATATATTAAAAAAGGTATAGTAAATACTATTATGATTACAGCACTAATTCACATCAAAATTCTTTATCACATTAAATTAATTATCAAATTTAAAGTATTTCTCAGGAAATACAAGAGCACCTTAGAGCAAATACAGTGTGAATGCTGGTCACTGTCACAGCCATTGTAAAAACTTTTTCATATCTTTATGATAAAACTTTCTGGCAATATTGTCAGTGTCAGCCTGGGAATGTTCTAGATTCAGAGGTAAGCTTTGCATTTCAATTTTCTCATGTTGATTTTTGTTTTCCTTTTAATTTTTCCTGGATTTGGATATGGCCCAAGTTTTTTATAAGCCAAATCTATGTTGCATTTGCCTTACCCAGATTTAGGTTCCTTCCCTCTCCTCTCAGTGAATGAAAGCAGCATTAGAAATAGAATTAAATTTTGAGAAATGGAATATGTGTAGTTTAAAGTGAGGCAATTGAAGCAAACCTCAAATTAGATGATAATTCCAACTTTATATTATTGTTGAGCATAAAAAAATGCTCAGGTGACTTCTCTCCTATTTTTATGCAATTTTGTGCTATCTGGCTCTAGCTTATAGCAGAAACAGAAGTTTCTATAAATTGTGTGAAAGGCAGACTTTGCTGCACTTCTCAACACTCTCCAGGATATATAAAAAAACCCAGAAATAAGAACGGATCTAAGATTTCCTGCCTTCTGCTTTTTGAGTTACTCAAGTCTTACTCAGCCTGAGGTTTGGATTGTTCAACAGTTAATCTTATATATTTTTTAATTTGTTGTGGACCAAATATATGTATCCTCCCCAATTCATATGTTGAAGCTCTCTCCCCCAGTGTGGCTGTATTTAGAGTAAAGAAGTAATTAAATAAAGTCATAGTGTGGGGCACTGATCCAATAGGATTAGTTTCCTTATAAGAGGAGACACCACAGAACTCACTCCCTTGCTGCCTCTGTGTGTATGCACTGAGGAAAAGCCATGTGAGGACACAGTGAGAAGGCAGCTGTCTGCAAGCCAGGAAGAGAGCCCTCACCAGCAACTGAATTGGCCGGAACTTTGATCTTTGGATTTCCCAGCTTCCAGAACTGTGAGAAAATAAATTTCTACTGTTTAAGTCACCAGTCTGTAGTATTTTGTATGGCTGCTCAAGCATAACAAACAATATTTCTGTTTCTACTAATGATAAAGGAAGACAAATTGGCTCCAAAAAGGAGATACATTATAGATGAGGGCAGGGACCTGGTTTGTCTTGTTTAATGACTGTCTCCCTAGCACCCAAGGGAGGGCCTGGCTCTTGGCAGGTACTATTTATTTCGCTAAGTGAATGAGTGGATGAATGAATGAATAGGTAAGATATCCAAGCTTCTCATGATAGCTAAAACTGATCACTGAAGTAGATTCCAAAAAAGAGTATTATGTTTTCCCCCTCAAAACTTCTTATATGTATGCTTATCTTATTTACTTCCAATTGTTTTGGAACAGTCCCCACTAAAGGCCATCCTGAGTTTTTAAAAATAGTAATCTCCTGATTCTGTGTGAATTTCACCAGTGTTTCTATGAATGTTGTCTCTTGTTTCTAGGATCCATTTCAGCATACCACAGTACATTTGGTTGCTATGTCTCTCCAGTCTCCTTTGGTCTGTGACTGTTTCCTAGTTTTTCCTTGTTTTTGATGACCTTGAGGCATACTGGCCAACTATCTGGTGTAATGTCCCCCAATATAGATGTTTCTGACATTTTTCTCATGATTAGAATGGAGCTATGGGGTTTTGGAAAGAATACCACAGAGGCGAAATGTCCTCCTTATCACATGATGTAAGAAGGTACATGGTATCCACATGGAATCACTAGCAATGTTAAACTGAAGTTGTTTGTACCATGTTAATATAATTACTTAACACATCTATAGTTAATTCAATGCTATGGTCTAAATGTTTGTGTCCTCCCCAGATTAATATGTTAAAACCTGATTGATGATCAGTGTGATGGTGTTAGGACGTGGGGTATTTGGTAGGTGATTAGGTCATGAGAACAGAACCCTCGTGAATGAGATTTGTGCCCTTATAAAACAGGCTCTAGAGAGTTGCCTTGCCCCTTCCACCACCCTGGGAGGACACAGCTAGATGGTGCCATCTATGAACCAGAAGAGGCCGTCTCCTCATCTGGCTGTGCCTTGATCTTAGACTTTCCAGACTCTATGAGAAATTGATTATTGTTGTTTATAACCACTCAGTCTAAGGTATTTTGTCACAGCAGTCTAAATGGACTAAGACATGCAAAAATGTCACTTTAAACTTTCTGATATAGAAGATCTCAATCTCATCTCCTTAAATTCAGAAATGAAAACCTCTCTTCTTCTGCTTATCTTCTAGAAAGTAAGATTATGTGTGTATTTTCGTGTGTGGTCTTACGCACAATAAATACTATATAACCTAATATTTTCCTCTTTGTCTGAAGAACAATGGTGAAATATGCTTAATAAGTTAACAGGGAGGAATTTTCTCTAAGGTTCTTGGTTCATTTCTGAGATCCAGATAGGAACTTTGATGGCAGGGGGCTCAACTTAGCCCTCCCAGTATTAGCACATTAGGTACCTTATAAAGTGTAATTTATTTAATGTCCCGCCAGCCATACCACCCTTAAGTGTGATGTCATCAACACATTAAATGAGAACATTTGAGACTTCCAAGTTAAAAAAGAAGTAAATTTTGGCAGGGAACTCAGAAGGTGGTACGGAAGCGGTAGTGTGGTCTCCTTTCAGTTGCACCTGAGTAATGCAGTAATGCTGATGAGTAATGCAGAGGTCAGTGTGCTGGGTGCTGATCAGCAAAAATAAAGAGATATAAAACTGAGAGTCAGACCCCTTTATTCTTAAAAAACACTGAGATGTTTCCCTCTGCCTGATTTTTTGTGGGAATATTTATACTGGAACTTATCCAAAGTTGAGTCAAGTCCGGGTGAGTGAAGCAGCCTCCAGGGAATAGTGTGCCTGTCCAAAACAGGTAATTACCTTGGCCAGAGTTTGCTATATGAATGCACACTTTGCTCCCAACAAAGCCTTTAACTTGCTCAGCCTCTCTCTTGAATTGGGCCCATTGTGCCTCACTAAACTTTTGAAATTTTATTGGCTCTTCATATTTTACTTTCTGTCTTTAGATACAATTTAACGCATTTACTGTCACAATGCACTCAAGCGCTGTGACTAAGAAAGTAAGAGATAACTGTGGATAGACAAGAAAGAAAATTTCTAGATTGAAGATGCACGTTGACTCAAACTGTTATTTCAGAAAGAGCATCTTAATGTCTTCTAGATCAATAACTCTTTTTGAATATCTTTTATGTGCAAATCAGTATGTTAGATTCAAATATGTACAAAGAGAAATAAGGAATGGTGCTACCTTTACATAATACGTTGTGAGACAAGGATCAAATCCATAATTAATCAATAATCAAATCCAGCATATAGATATATAACTATATTTATTCATTTATTTATTTATTGAGACAGAGTCTCATTCTGTCACCCAGGCCGGCGTGCAGTGGTGCCATCTTGGCTCACTACAACCTCCGCCTCTTGGGTTCAAGTGATTCTCTTGCTTCAGCCTTCTGAGTAGCTGGGATTACAGGTGTGCGCCACCACACCCAGCTAATTTTTGTATTTTTAGTAGAGATGAGGTTTCACCATGTTGGCCAGGCTGGTCTCGAACTCCTGACCTCAAGTGATCCACCCACCTCAGCCTCCCAGAGTACTGGGATTACAGGCGTGAGCCACCTCACGTGGCCAGCATGTTAAATATAGTAAAAATAGAATGAAAATATAGCAATTGATTTTGTGAAGCTCTTTACGTTGTTAAAATAGAGGTATGCAAATTGGATGAAAGCTCACTTTGTTAAGAGGTAAAGGGAAACCTTAAGTGGCTTGCATTTGGTTATCCATAAGCATTCTGAGTCTCATAGATAAAACCTGGGATTTTATTATGAGGTTATTATCACACTGAACTAGAAGTCAACCTCAGACCTCTCAGCTGCATAACTTGGCAGTTCCAAATACTGCGCCCACATTCCTTGGCAAAAACAAGCTCCCAAGAATTTTGAGTTCTTAACCTCTACATTTTCTTGGTGGTATGTCATCAACCACACCTGTAGGCACGATCTTTGTTCCTTTAACATTCCATTGAGCTTTGTACAAACAGTTAATCTACCCAACACATACTCTCAATTTTCAGAGTATTGGATGATGCAATAAATATTGAGAGACTTGCAGAGATAAAACAAGCGAAAGCATTCTAGTGATTCTTATTTTTTATTAATTCTGAGATGTCTTTCATAATCTATGAATTTTCTATTTAGGTTTTATTTTGAAAGGCACTGGCCCAGAATAAAGACTCTTATCTCTCATTTCTAGGAAAGGCATTGTGTCTCAGGGTATCCTTACCTTTTTCGGTTTGTTTTCTCCATATTTTGGGCCTGGGAAGGGTAGGAGCTTGATTTTTCTTGTTTTCATATATTCCCAGCAATGCATTTAAAATAAAATTTTATATTTGATTCAGCATTTAGGATCTTATTGTTCAAGGGCTATTGAAAATATTTAGTTCACCATACTTTTTAAATTCGAAGTTTTCTCTAGAAACTCAAAGGAAGTGGAATAAATGAGTATGACTTTATCTCATTCTTTTCAGCTCTATCTCATGCTCTAGCCATAAAACACTCTTTTTTTTTTTGCAATGAATAAACCAGGTATTGCAATCAGTTCATTGATATAATTAGAAAACACATAGAATTCTATTAGATTGTCTTCTATACTTTCTGCAGCACCATTTCCACTCTCAGCCCCCATTTCACTCCCTAAAGCAACTTCCAGTAGCCAGGATATTTTAGTGGTTCTTGTGGCAATAAGAGATGTGACCTGGTCCTCTCCTGAAAGAGTAATAGAAAGTCAGACTTTTTTTTTTTTTTTGGCTTTTTATCCATGCAGTCTTATCTGATAAACCTTGCCTCGTGGAAGAGAGTTTCATGGTGGAACGTGGGTTGGTGTACTGTTGTTAGGGCTCCAGATAGAATTGGGGTTTTATCTAAACAGCCAGAAGGGTCAGTTAAGATACAGAAGTAATGATGATGAGATTGGTAATGATAACAAATACATATCAGTGCTTACTATCTGCCAGGCATTGTTTTATGCATTTTACATATTGAAACCATTTGGCCCAGAAATGATAAAAAGAAGACAAATTTCAGTTTTGTTTTACATTAGCAATAGGTGATTAGTTACATCTGGGCCTTTTTTATATGTTTATTTAGTGAGTTAATAGTTTAGGTTTTTGTTTTAGAGGCAAGTGGTAGGTAAGAATAGGTGTGTCTTCTTTGCATTTAGGACAAAAAAATTGAGAACTACACTAGATACAGAGTTAACTAAATTAAATTAATTAAACTATAACCCTTAGAGCCCTTTCCATCATTTGTATACAACTGGTGTCTATCACCCGGCAAATGAGCAGAGAAGAAAATGAGTTATTGTCTGCCTTTATACCTGCCTGTGTTCCTCTATAATTTTCAGCAAATATTTCTTCTTCTTTTAAGTGTTCCCTCAATGCCAGCTGTTATGTTAAGAACTGAGATGACAATATTGAAAGAGCAAAGAAGGTCACTGGGCTATGGAGGTTTACAATCTGCTGGAGGTTATAGACAAGTAAATGAGAAATTTAAATACAGTTGGATAAAGTAAAAGAGAAATCTCAGTTTCTTCTACTCTCAGATACCTAGTGTCTATTATTTTGAGATTTTGCTATTTCACTATTTTGTGAATTTTGCTTAGTGAATTGCTATTCATAAATTGCTATTAGTGAATTTTGCTATTTCACTATTTTGAGATTTTGCTATTAAAGTAATGTTGAAACATTATACAAAAAAAAAGAATCTGCTATATGGAAATGAGAAAACCTTAAAGAAATTGTGGCTGTGAGTCCATGAACTTCTGCAATGATGATTCCATGGCATGGTGAAATTTTACTTAATAAAATGCATTAGTGCAGACAAGCTGTAGTTTTAACATTCCCATGTGTATAATTTAAGAAGACGGCAACAAATTGGAATAGCACCAAATGAAACTCAGTAATAAGTGTCTGTTGAACGGATGAATAAAGAAAAACAAAACTGACTAAAGAGCTCTTCCTCTTGCCTCTTAGTTGAGAAACATTTGAATTATTCTTTGTAACATGCTTAATTTCATTCCTCATGTTAATGACTGCCTTGCTAGATCTCAATTATTTTTTCAGGTTTAATCTGTCTTTGTAAGAAATTCAGTAATTCTCTTATTTGTTCCGTTTTAGGAACATCTGTTGCAAATCTAGTATTGAGTTTATTTGAAACTAACAGCTGCCCAGTAGCCCATCAAAAGAAATAGCCTAGGTGAAAGCACCCTGTAGATTTCTTTCTAAAAGGTTCAGTTTCTAAAAATTTACCTTTCATTACATTTAAATTATGTGATATGAAACATATAGGGATGGCAACAATTCTCACTGTTAAGCACGATGGATCAGTATTTCGTGCTTATAGTAATCCTGATGTATTTAATCCAAATATTTAGATATTTCAAAGCTACAGAAGAGAAGAAAATGTTATAATTTGAACTTGAGGCCATCTGGCTTATCTGGATCTTGGCTAACACTTTCCAAGTGAAGTGCCCCTGCCTAGACTCTGCAAGTTTCTTTGACAAATTCCCAACTCATGTCTTTCTACAAATTATGTTAAAATAAATTTGAACGGTATAACAGTGAGTCTTTGAGTGGAGTTTGCTTTTCAGAACTAAGCAAACAACAAGCTACTACTAAAATAATCATTAAAAAGAAAACCACAAAACTGCTACCAGACTAGACTCTACAAATCTTGAAGCCTGTGATGCCTGTCTCAGAAGTTTTAGCTAATTTAGCAAGGGGCATTTGTGAAATGCTAGCAAAGACTCCTCTGGCCACATAAAATATGACAGCAATCATATACTCTTTAAACTTTGAATTTGTAGATTTGCTCAACGCCCAAATAGGACTTATGCTCATACAACTTAACTTTTGTGTAGAGTCTACTGTTCTAAGCTTCTACATACTGGCACTGTTCTAAGCTTCTATATACACTAGACAACAATCGTTAGAAGTGAAGACTGTTGCTAACCTCAGGTTGTAAATGAGCAACTGAAGTCGAATAACTTATTTATAGTGACACAGCAAATGGATGGGTAAAGTCTAAGGTCACTAAGCTAGCAATGGGAGGGTTAAAATTGAGACCCAGGCCTCTCTAATTCAAAATTCTATCTGCCCTACTGCAGTTGACGGCTCATCTTTTGGCAACTGCCTGCAAGAGTACAAAAGTAACCAAGAAGACACTAAGGCAGAACTCAAAACACAGCAACACTGTGTACCTCTATGGCAATATGCTGCTTCTCTGTTTTTACCCCATCTCCTAAACGTGAAGCCCTTTCTACCTCTTGCCTCTCTGCTCATTTCCTTTGGTCCCCACATTGTTTATTCCTACTATACATGAATACAGGCAATTCTTTCTAAAAGCTTATGGGAGACTGATAAAATGTCTACGTTATCAGAAGACAAAAGGGGAATCAAAAAGTATCTAGAAAAAAGGACTTCACAGAGACCAAAATATATTATTCAGACCTCAAAATCAGGTTTTGTTTTACAGTACTATTTCAATAAACTGACTATAGAGAATCATTAATTGATGACATTCTAGATTTGGAAAGAACCATAGAGAGAATCAAGTCAATCTCTTCACTGTAAAGTTGAAAGAAATGTGGCCTAGGGAGCAGAGATGACTTGTCCAAGATGACAAAGCCAGCAAGTGGCAGACCTGAGACTTCGCCATGGGGACCTTCAGGCTCAACTCATGTTCTCTCCTCTGACTCCTTGTTACAGAAACCCCCTCCTCGGCACACAGGATGGCTGCTTGGCCTCTCTTCACTGAGATTCCGTGCCTTGCTGAATGAGGCAGTGTACCTTGCCTTTAGGACTTGGAGTTCTAGAATTAGGTAGACTTGGGTTCAAATCCTGACTCTGCTGCTTGCTAATTGCATGAATCAAGTCTTAGTACTTACCCCCTTTAAGACTCCATTTCCTCCCCTGTAACATGAGAATGATACTACATGCTTCCTGCGGGTGTTGAGAAGATTAAAGGAAATAGTAGTTAATGTTTATAGATTCCTTGCTCTGTGTCATATTCTGTGCCAAGTATTTTATGATTATTTTTTTCATGTAATCCTTAAAAAGTACATAAAGTGCTCAGGCCATATAACAATAAATATGTTTGTTTGCATGCAAAGAGACACATACCCATACATGTATCAATTAGGAATCACACACACGCACACACACACACACACACACACACACGCACACACAGGGAATTTCATTTAAGCTTTGACTACATTGGCTTAAATAAATGTAGTCCTGTGGTAGGCAGTCCAGGGCCCTTGTGGTTGCCTCATGAAGCTCCAGGGACTCACACTCTTCCTGTCCTTCTGCCCTGCCAAAATCTTAGAAGACTGACACTCTCAAGGTCACAGGATGGCTGCTCAGTCACACCATCTGTGCTTCAGGTGCTTAAATAGCAGGAAGGGAGATGGGAAGGAACAGGAGGGCAAAACATGTTCTTCTGGAAGTGCTGCCCAAAGACATGTAAGTGCTCCTGTTTTCATATTGGCAATATTCCCTCTATAGGAAAGGCTGGGAAAGGTAATTTTTATTTGGGCATATTCTAACCCCAAGTATATGAAATGAGCAGGTAATTGGCAGTTTCTGTCATGTGTTTTTCAAGTCCAGATGAAGACTTACAACTCTCTCCAATCTATTGAGGAGGTTACTGTATATACAGACTGTGTATGTATATTTTATTATAAAGAAACCATGGCTATTTATTACATGTAGATGTGGGGTCTTAGTATATGTAGAGGTCAGGCATGTAAATATGATTGCTACATCATCTCAGAATTGGTAGCTGGGATTTAGGGCAAGGCCTCAGAAAAAAAAATTGTCAAACAACAAAATAGTTTGTTGTGTGTTTGAGTCACCAAAGCAGGATTCAGAAAGGAATACAACAGCAGAGCAGAGGCAAATCAGCTAGAAATGTGATCACAGGAAATCAAAGGAATAGGTGTGTAAGGACATGCCTTGGTAGAGAGAAATTATCTAGGAAAGGGAGCCATATATAGAAGGAGGAGTTCTGGAGAGTCTGAAAGGTACTCCAGCTCAAGAAGTTAGGAAGCTGTTTGAGGGGTAGTGAGACTTAACCTTGAGGTCAACACAGGGAGAAACTGCGAAGAGGTGGCCTGGCCTCCTCACTGATAGAAGGAGTGTGTGTGTGTGTGTGTGCGCGCGCGCGTGTGTGTGTGTGCGTGCGTGTGTGTGTGTGTGCGTGTGTGTGTGTGTGAGAGAGAGAGAGAGAATGAGAGAATAAATCTCCAGTTCTCCATTTCATTCTGGGGTCAGGAATGAGGTGAGAAATAGAAGGAAAATATAATACCTTGTAATAAGTTGCTCCAAGTTAACTGGAGTAATGAATATACATATTTACATTTCATGACATGTAATAAAATAAATTTTCTGCCCTCACTGCCTCTCTGAGCTTAGGCTTTTTTCAACACCCCCTACTCAGGGCCACCGGGGAGGAAAGGAAGAAAGCAGCACAGAGCCAAGTTTGAAGTCCTGGAAGAGAATCTCCTGAGACATTGGCTGAGGAACACAGAAAGTTACTTGTGGCAGAATCTTTCTGGAATTTTTCCATTCTGGGATACTCTGAGCCCATTTTGTCACAGGTCATCATGACTTGATGAATGAATATCATATTGGTTAATTCCTGCGGCTTAATAAAATCCTTTGTTCAAGAACAGCATGAAATTTTCAGAGTGTATCGACTCCTTGTTAGCTATGATTGAGACTAAGAGTGCCTGGCACATAATAATCACTCAATAAAAATTTAATTAAATTTATTAATAAAATAAATGAATGCAGAATTATCTAGAGAGCATTTAGTATGGCTCCAGTAAATGGCAATATGGTTATAATATGTTTACTTAATCGCTATTAATAGTGCTAGAAAAAACTAGCTTTATAAAGTACAATTTGAGTTTTTATTTTCTAGCATTGGTTGCGACCATTATGGTCAGACTCCTTCCATGGGGTGAAACAGTACCTTGAAAGAAAAACACAAAAAATCACTTTAAAATGTGTTGGTTTCTTGTTAAAGTGCCCTGAAACCATATCACTTTTTAAAAATCTATTCATGAGAATAAGAAAATCATTCTCCATGACCTCCATGAAGAAAACAAAGAACAGGTTAAATTATATTTAATATTTTACAGATATTCATAACAGATTGTCTAAAAAGCCTTTCCTGACTTTATCTTCTTTGTTCCCCTAAACATTTTTTTAAAGGATAAGCCTTAGAGACATAGATTTGATTAGCTCAATGTCTGTCCTACTTTACATACTTGAGTGTTCATTCATGCAATGAGAGTATGGCCCTGCTATGTTCAAGGCAGTGTGTCAAATAAGATCTGGTTCCTGCTTTTAGGGAGCTTTCAGTCCGCAGGAAGATAAGGATAAATAATCATTTAAAACATAGTGCTTTTACATGAAAGATAAAGATAAGTAATCAGTTAAAACATAGTGCTATTATGTGATATAAGTACTGAAATACAATGACGGTACATGTTATAATGGTGATTTGCATAAGATCCTCTTGCCATATAGAGGTGGTTCAGCGTAATTTTTTTAAGAGCTCAAACATGGGTATTTGAAGTCTGGTTTCTAATACTACCTATACCCCTCACTAGCTGTGTGATGTTAGGCAAATTACGTTGTCTCTCAGTCTCCTTATCTGTAAAGTGAAGACAACAGTAGTATTCATCTCAAAAGGTGTTTTGATTTTATGAGATATACTTATTATGAAATCACTTAGAATAAAATAAAAACTCCTTGCAATCATGCTAGATTCCAGTCTCTGCCCCTCTCATCAATCTCATCTTTCTCACCCTCTCCTTTACTTGTTACACACCAGCCACACTTTCTCTATGTCCTGTAATATACCAAGTCTTCCCTACTTTGGGCCTTAGAACATGCTGACTCCTTTTCTGAAATGCTCTAATACCCCAACTCCCACCAACTAATGGTGACTCATCTCTGAGATTTCAGCCTAAATATCTTTTCACAGGTCACAGCTCAAGCATCTTTCTCCTGATCTCAAAGTGTATATCAGTTCTATTCACGTTTCTGTTTTCTTTCCTACCTGCCTGTTGTTTTCTTACACAGTACTTGTAATAATTTTAATTCTATCTTCTTCTGTGTATATACAATATTTATCTTCCTCCCTAGACTGTAGCTCAAGAGGGTGAGGATCATATCTTTTTCATCACCGTAAACTCATTTCACCACAAAGCTTGGCAAGGAGGATATACTTTAAATATTTAGATTTAATAGGAAATAAATGAATGGAAACATGGCTTTGCATATAAAGCATTAACACTGTGTCTGGCTTATAGTAAGAGTTTTATAAATGCCAACATTTATAATTTTAAACAGCAGGTATTAGATTTAGAGAGTGAGAGGGGTCAGAAAATTTTCCTGGAGGAAGTGACATTGGAATTGAAGTTTGATATCAAGTTCTTACTTTCTCATGTTTTTGGGCTTTACAGAACAGGGATTGTTAGGCTATATCAGTATGTTTTATGACAATCCATAAGAATTTTAAGAAAAAAAATGACTAATCCCTTTACTTTTGAAATTATTTAGCATAGTTTCTTCTGATGTGTTCAAAGCACTGCTTCACATTATCTCTTGGAGGCAGGTCACAGGAAAGATGGTTATTTCTGTTTCAGAGATAGAGAATTACAGAACAAAGAACAAAAGTGAAGTCAGGCTATGTGGTGGACCTTCTGGAACAGATGAAGGAATAAAAGGCAAAGGGCATCAAAGCAAACGTTAAAGCCAACAGGTCAAGGAAAGTATTACCGAATTCCCAGCAAGTTACATGTTTGGCTGCCGCAGGCTACATGCTGGAGCTGATATGTCCAAAGGGAGCATTCCGGAAAAGGGAGTGGTCTCCGTTCCAGCAGTCTGGACTCCCCAGAGTGAAACTCAAGATAGCCTCATTAGGAATCAGGATGGCTCTGTCAGAATAGGCCCTAGCCATGATTCCATGGACTGAAATGACCTCCAGCAGGTAAAAATAAGAGCTGATGAAGTCTGAGGACTTGCAAGGTGCTCACAGTCCTCATTTAGGAAGATTTTCCAGGATATACAGAAGATCTCAGATTAGAATACCTATTTATGGGGTTTTATAGGAAACCACCATGCTGCCACATACTCTATTATTTCAACTTTGCCAACTTAAGCTCATTTAAAGAGCTTAAAATAATCAAAGATGCTAAGTATTTAACATATGTTTCCGTAAAATGAGTGGAAGGAAGAAGGATAAGATCTTCCTTTTGGGCAATTCATTGGCGACTACTGCAGGAAGAAAAAAGTTTTGATTTTTGTTCAAGGAAGTTTTTTTTGTCTTTTTCCATTCTTCCTTCCTGTCTGGCCCCTAAAGTAAAAACTCCCAGAAAGCATAAAAACAGAGACTATCAAGCCTGACTCAGTTTCCTCTGTCTCCTCTTTGGCAGGCTTTTCCCAGCCCATCCGAATCACTGAAATCAGTATCATTCTTGAAATGAATACGGTTGCTTTCTCCTGCCTAACATGCCAGTCTCAGAGACTAAGGCTATGATTTCTTTGAGTCAACTTTTATTTAGTGTTTATTATGGGCCAAACTCTAAACTAAGCTCTAAATCTGCAAAGACAATAAAATAAGATGACTGCCAGTAAGAAATTCTAATCTGCTGGGTAGGGAGAAACACAATTTGCTGCAGTGTAATAATTATTCCTTGATAGACATAGTTTCTATGGGAGCCCAGGGAAGAGAATAAGACCATCAAATCATTCATTTATGGAGTGCTGACCAAAGGCGAAGCCTTACCCTGTATCTGGGAAAGATAAACACTGAAAAAAGAAAAGTTTCATTTCCTCCAGGAACTTAACATGCACTTATGAAAGGCATACACACACACACACACACACACACACACACATCAAATAATATATAATGATATCTATTTTAGGTTCCTAAAAACTAACTGTGAAAAAGTACTCCATGCTCAAAGGTGACTTCTATATCAAGCATTATAGCAGACTGGAAATCCTAAAACCCTCATCTACCTAAAAATGCTCAGTAAAATATTTAATATTTATTTTTAAATGCATTGCTGACCTGGAAACAAATTTGTATGAAGCGAAAAATAATGCAAAAGTAAAAATCCATAGAAGTAAGCCAGTGGTGAAAATCCCCCATTTTCCTAAAGTCACCTGCCATTTGCCCATAACTCAGAGCTTTGGTTTTGTTATTAAATTGGGGCCAAGAAGCAAAGACTAAGACCGTGTCGGCATAGATATCAGAGGTGAAAAGCTTTGACCCACCACATGACACTGTTGGTGAAATAGTGAACTAAAAGTATCCCTACCTTGACTTCTACTCCTAGTGGAAGAAAAAATTCTTCCCTGTGCCGGCCACCTCAGAGATTTGAGGCCCAAGTTTATACTACTCTTGTGTTTGAGATACCTTAAGCTTAGAATTTATTATAAAGTGACCCTTGGTTGGCAGTCTCCCAAGATGCTTGGCAGAAGCAAATATAAATCTCTCTGGAATAACATGTCTTAAACTTAGGACTCAAAAATTCCCATAGATAAAGTTTTTTGAACATATACTCATGATTACAAAATTGTATAACACAAGGAAAGAAGCAACCATGAACACAAATCAGCAAAAATGAAGCCAAAGAAACCAAAACAACCTAACAGACTAAAAAATAGAAATGGCAGACTCAGACTCACAAAGATATTATATATTGTAATTATTGAATTATTATATTTAATGTGTTTAAAGAAATAATAAGGTATGAGTATAGAATAAGATTTTAAAAATGAATAGGCAGATTTTAAAAGACTCAAATAGAAATTGTAGAAATAAATATAATTGAAATAAAAAAATGAATAGGTTAAACAGATCAGACAAAGCTGAAGAGAAAATTAGTGAACAGGAATATATCTGAAGAAATCTAGAATGTAATAAGAGAAACAGATAAAACACTATAAAAGAGATAAAAGCAATATAAAAGAGAAATTAAGAAACATGAAAAATGCCAGTGAGGCAATATAACAAATGTCTAATTGGGTTCTAGATGAAAAGCAGAGGTATTGCAGAGAGACACTATTTGAAGTGTTAAGATCTGAAAATTATCAAAAAATTATATAAGAACATGAATCCCTTGGAATCCTTGGAAACAGGAAATCCAGAAGTTCCAAACAAGTCAAATAAAATGAAAACCACATCAAGACGCTTTGTAGTAAAATTTCTTAATACCTAAGACCCCTCCTTCCCCAACCCCAAATAGCTAGAGAGAAAAAACACATTGTTATCTATGGAAGAATAATAGTCAAATTGCCATCTAACTTGTCAGAAACAACAATATAAACTAAAAGAACACCAAAAACTGTCTTCAGACTGTAGAGAAAATACTCGTCAACCTAGTAGTGTGTGCCCAGCAAAATTATGCTTCAAGCTGGAAAATAACATTGAAGTTTTTTTCAGACAAACAATACTGATGGATTTTGATCAATAATATACCCTAACTATGTGAGAAAGATGAAAAAAACAATTTGTATAAACAATAACAACAATGTCTAATTTTGTTGTTATAATAATGATGTAACTAAAATACTTTGGTAAATATATCTTACTGGCTTTAGACTTTTTAAAATTAAATGTGCATGTTAAATTCCTATATTCATGATTAAAATAATAAAGGAAAAGTTTATAATTCTAAATGAGTTGTGGGCAGAATCCAGAATGAGAAAAACCAGCACAAAAGTATGCAAGAACGAAGATAAAAAGAAACAAACAGAAGAGGGAGAAAGTTTAGGAAACACAAAATAAGAAAGTATAAATGAATTAAAATATGTCAGTAATTACAACAAATACATATGGGCTACATTTTTTAGTTAAAAGACCAAATTGCCAGACTGGTTAAGGAACTCAATTTAGTTATATATTGAATTCAAACGGCACACCTAAAACAAAAGAACTCAGAGAGGTTGAAAGTGAAAGGATGGGACCATAAGCATTAAAAAAATGCTCAAATTCTAATAATCAGGGTGGTGCAAATAATGATGCCACTAACACACCCTCCAGATGACAAAAATGTAAAGGTTCATGTTTGGCAAGAATATGGAACAGTAAAAAATTTATATAGTGCTGGTGGGAATGTCAGTTGGTACCATATATATATGAATATTCATAGCAGCACTAATTATAATAGCCCAAACTAGAAACAATCCAAATATCTATCATCAAAACAATAGATAAATGTGCTGTATTCATACAATGGAATATTATGCCATAATAACCAAGATGAGGAATGAAAATGAAAGAATAAGTGTGCAGGGAAGGTTGAGCCCTGAGTTAGACATGTTGACTTCAAGTTACCTGTGAGGTGGAAGAACCCGGGGATGTATTGCTGATGCTGGAAATGTGGACTGGACTCAGAAGCAAAATAAGGGCTTGGGCATAATTCGCTTTGGTGATATAACAAATCAGCAGCAATTTCTGAGAGAAATGTCTTCAAAGTAGCATGACCTAATCCCACATGGCAAAGATGAGAGTAGAGAAGGATGAAAAAGTGCAAATACCTAGTGTCTGCTAATCTTTTAAGAAGCTGGGGCCAGTCACAGTGGCTCACACCTATAATTCCAGCACTTTGGGAGGCTGAGTGGGAGAATAACGTGAGCCCAGGAGTTCAAGGTTGCAGTGAGCCATGATTGCACCACTGCACTCCAGCCTGGGTGACAAAGTGAGACCCTGTCTCAAAAGAAAAAAAAAGGAGGGAAAGTTAAGGAGAGAATAGTAGACTGGAGGAAAATGGAGTCAAACTGGTAAAGATTGCTGACATCTATTGGGTGTTTGTTAGAGCTTTAAATAAATTACCTAAATTAATCCTCACCACTCCCTGAAATAGATACTTGTGTTACATGCATTTCATAGGTACAAAAACTAAGGCACAGAGAGATGAAGATCACACAGCAAAGTGGTAAAGTCAGGAATTATATATAAGCAGTCTGACTGAAATACACTCTCTAAACATTAAATTAAAACATAGCAGGCTGGGCATGGTGGCTCATGCCTGTAATCTCAGCACTCTGAGGGGCTGAGGTGGGTGGATCAACTGAGGTCAGGAGTTCGAGACCAGTCTGGCCAATATGGTGAAATCCCACCTCTACTAAAGACATAAAAATTAGCTGGGCATGGTGGCACAGTTCTGTAATCCTAGCTACGGGGGAGGCTGAGGCAGGAGAATCGGGTGGTGGAGGTTGTGGTGAGCCGAGATCGCGCCACTTCACTCCAGCCTGTGTGACAGAGTGAGACCCTGTTTAAAAAAAAAAAAAAAAAGCAGCAGCAGAGTTCTTGGCTGGCTGTAGTGAGATTTTAGAATGCTTGTAGCATAAATGGAGTGGAATTAGGAGAGCAGTTAAGCAGAAAAAGAGCAAGATATAGTAGAAAATAGGAGGTGTTGGTAGTTGCCAAAAGGAGAGGTAGGGAGGAAGGAAATGTTTTCCTTTGGAATTAGGAAAAAGAAAATGTGAAGGAGGTGATTCAACGTTTGGGTGGCAGGAAGTAGTGGGGTTCATTTTGGGTGATTTGGCCCTGCAGTTTGGTAACGTTGAGATCATTTCTTGAGGTAAAGGTAGACCAGAGTGGCTTAACAGCACTGAGAAATAGCTATGGTTTGAAAAAGCTGGGAACACAGAAATTAAAATAGCAGCAGTGCCATGAAGTAGCACACTACTGGGGGTTAGAGTCAAATGTCAGCACATAAAGTAAAAGTCACATGCAATCAAAATTACTTTAAAAAATCCCCTAAGTATCCCATAACGTACAGTATATATGGTTTTTTGTGTGCTGTGCTGTCTTTCTATTAGTCTGACGGAGCTAGCTTTCCTCTAGCAATGAAACAGGGCTGTTTCTTTGGTTGAGCTCCAGCTGAATGAGTTCACTTGCTTTGGGATCCTTTGTGTGTGTGTGTGTATATATATATATATATATATATATATATATATATATATATATAGCCATGCGTGATAAGACTCTACTCTGGAAGCCTGGCCTGTGTGAACAGACTGGGATGTGAATCCTGGCCTGACCCTATTAGCTGTGTGATGGTGTACAACTTTACCAAATCTTTCAGAGTCTCAATTCCTGGCATAGATTAGATGCTCGATTGCTAGTGGAAAATAAGAAAACATAAAACTAAATGGTAGGATCAGCTACTACTACCAAATAGAACCAGCTGATATGGATAAATTAAAGGAGGATGAACCAAAGACGTGGCCAAGGTTCGGATGTCTGAAGCAGTCGTGAATTATTTGTTCAGGGAGCTCACAATATGGGACTTAAAGTAAGAAAGCACAGGGTTAGGTTTACCCAGATTTGAGGATTGGTGTTCATTGCTGTATAGGGTATAGCATAAGGTCAAGAGTATGGCACATAGGGCCCTAGGAGGAGAAAGCCTTATAAACAATTGCCTAAGGAGATTACACTGGGTGTTCACAGAGTGGTGGAGAGAGGTAATACCCTGAGAGAACAGGAAGGATCAAGAAACTAAATGTCGCACTGACTTTGAAAAGCAAGGTCAGTTGGGATGAGGGAGCAAAGAAAGTGAAATATGAGTGATGACAGAGTAGGGGAACAAAGACGTTTCCTGTACCGTCTTAGATTCTATGGCTGGGGCCTACAAATTAAGCTGAGAAAAACCAGATTAACAGAAGAAATAAAGCATAAAAATTTTATTTGATATTAATGTTTTTATGTGGCAGGGAGGGCTTCCTTGAAAGAAGTGAAAACCCCAAAGTAGCAGTTAGACTTGGGGGCTTACATACCATTTTAACAAAGAATGATAAATTGTGGAGATATGATAAGATGAAGGAAAAAAAGGTTTGGTTTAGGGGCAGTAAATTGTGGGAAAGTGACTAAGAAATATATGAAGGGCAACTAATGGAAGACAAGGGTTGTTTTAATAAGATTTGTTTAGTTAGGCACAATGGTTCATGCCTGCAATCCCAGCACTTTGGAAGGCCAAGGTGAGATTATCACTTGAGCCCAAGAGTTCATGACCAGCCTGGGCAACATAGCGAGACCCTATCTCTATTTAAAATTTTAAAAAAAATTAGCTAGGTGTGGTGGTGCATGCCTGGAGTCCTAGCTACTTGGGAGGTTGAGGCAGGAGAATGGCTTTAGCCCAGGTGATCAAGGCTGTAGTGAGCAGTAAATGTGTCACTATACTCCAGCCTGGGTGACAGAGTGAGACCCTGTCTCCAAAAAAAATTAGCTTTGTTTATACAGATGCATCTTTGCATCAGTTTCCCATCTCTGGTGATATAAATGTTTTTCTCTTCCTGGAACAAAGAAGGCATGTTTCTTGTGGGAAATGTATGCCCCAATGGTAGATAGAAAGGAGGAGAGCAGAGACCCCTTTCTGCATCTGCTGTTTCTCAGTTGCCTTTAGCTCAAAATAATCTGTGAGCCAAAGTGACATATATGGGCATAATATGTTATGATCTCCTTCAATGGAGTTCATAGACAGCATCTGGAAATTGTCTGTACTGATACAGCACTCTTCCTCCCACAGTGATGCCTTCTATGAACTCAGGAATAGTCAGAACCAACAGAACACTTCCTTCCTAAACTTAGATTTGAATAGTGTGTCTCAGCATGCCTCTTTGAATATTATTAGAGCCCAATTATTTTTAAGGATGACGACAGTGCATGCTGTTAAGATAATGGGTTCCGGAACCAAGAGCATAGAGTCTGGAACTATGTTATCTAAGTTCAAATGCTAGCTCTTCCATTGACCAACTATGTGACCATGGACGATTGAATTAACTTGTCTGTTTCTCAGGTTTTTTTCATATTTAAAAATATAAAAAGAGAGTAAAAGTGGTTGTCGAGAGGCTTAAAGAAATACACTTCGAACTGTGAAGAGCCCTTAGGAAGTGAACAATAATGAGCTGTCATTGTTATGAAAATAATTTTTAAAAAAAAGCTCATTTACTGATAGGTGCTGAACTTTTCCTGGGCTGGTTCTAGTTTCATTGTCCAGTTTGCTTTTAATCAATGGCATGTACTTTTGAGTTTGCTGGCTAAGAGGAAAAGGGCCATCTGTGGCCACAGAGCACACTGTGCTCTCTGTTAAGGAAACAGCTCTGGGTGGGATGAAGGGTAGCTCAGGAGTGCTGTGATCAGAGCAACTGAGAAATGCTACTATCCACAGACACCCTTTGTCACCACAGGGACAGATCTTTTTCCCCACTTTTTTTTTTTCTCCTAGAGACATTTTCATTCTTTAACAGGAAATCTATCTGTCCCCTGCTCCTGAGTTACTCTTATAGGGAGACCTGTACAATCACATCTATTGTTTTTGTTTGTTTGTTTGCTTGCTTGTTTGGTCATAATTTTAACCCTTTAAAACATGTGTACAGTTTGCAACATAATGACTGTTTCTGTAACATCCATCACTCTGACGGAGATAATAATAAGGAATTATCTCTTGCCCAGAAGAAGGAATGAATAATTTAACAGGAAAAATTAGATCCCTAGTATAAATTTCTTCAAAGAGATTTTCTGAATTAAATTTGAGGTAATCTGTTTGGTGTAAAAGAAATTAACCCTTTCTTTGTGTTCCAAGCTCCTTGGAGGATTGTTCACATGTTACATGAATGAAGCTGAAACAATTAGGTATCATCTGTGTATCTAAAAGCATCCATACAAGATACTCTTATTATGTAAAAAGTCATTTGAATGGTTATTGTAACAACCTGTCTGGCTCAGATGTCTAACCTAGGCCCCTGTGTATAGTCTTTAAAAATGCCATTCACAGTATAGATTCCTAAAGCTATAGGGCTCTGAAGCCACATCACTTATGATTCTTATTGATTGGAAAACCAAACTGCTTTGATTTCTTTCACAAGGTTCAGAAACTGACTCTGATGAGACCTCAGCATTGTATGCTCTTAATGTTAGCATGGGCCAGAAGCCAGTTTTGTCATGCATTTTTCTTATGTACTGACAGTATTTGCAAGTGCTTCCTAATGAAAAATAGGACAGGAGAAGCCATTAAAAGATATTGGTATTGTCAAGCTCCATAATGGTTAAGGAAAATGTGGAGGCCTCAGTGAAATTCAAGTTTAAACAAAGAGGAAAGATGATTTATAGTTTAATGAACCATTATAATTTTTGACTTTAGAATTCCTTTTTGAACTAGAAATCTGGAGTGCAGTAGCCAGGTAGTGGTAGTAAAAAGTTTAAAGAGGAAAAGATGTTTTCAGTTTCAGTATCTCTTTTAAATCATGCCTCAAAATAAGGAATGGAGGTTTGAGTCTGCAGCTGGGAGGTCAAAAGGCCAAGGGAGAAGAGGTTCCTTTTGATTGTAAACATATGAATTAATCATGACTCAAAAATGGAGTCAAGAGATTGTCTGCGCTGGAAAGGGAAATAAAATAAAGAAAAATTATTTATTTGTATAAACACACACATATGTATCTATATACACACATGGTACAAATATGTGCTCATACCCACCATCTAGCTCCTGAAAATCTTTGACCACATGTAAGTGTATAAGTAACACCAATTCAACACCTGAGAAGAAAAACCACATTCATATTTTCACCTAGGGCTTGATTTATTTATATTATTTATTTAGTTATAGAATTTGGGTTTAAGCAGAAGTCTTAACAGATTTTAATACAAAAGGCTTTCCTTAACCACTATTTGAACACAAAATCTGGTGTATTTTAGAAAGCAAAAAGTAAATTAAATGCCATGTGAGTTTTTATGTGACAGAGCTTTTAGAACTATAAAGAGGGCAAATAGCCACAAAGGGACATCGAACCAGTAGGAGGTTAACCCTGTGGTAAACTGGGTTCTTCCTCATTGCTTTGAAGTTTTTTTCTTTTTAAAATTGTATTTATCTGTCATCTATGTATCTAATCTTCTGTGTATACCACAGTGTGACATACAAAGACATGGGAATCTCATTTCTACATACTTTACTCTTTTTATTTTTTTCTTCCAAATTAGACTCTCAGAATTTACAACTCAGAATACTGACTCTAGTCAATGTGGTCTTGGGTTAGTTCTCCCTCACAATTACTGGCTACTCCAGAGGGCTGGGGTCAGAGGCTTGATTAAAGAAATTATAGCTTCGGGTCCCCTCCAATAAACCATGTCAGGCTTTAGGCAACCCAAAACAATGCTCCCTGTTTTAACCCATAATGGGCAGTTGAGTTCAGTAAATGGCCTAATCACTGCAGCATAAATATTTATGGGAGAATTTTTCCAATTAAGGTAGAGACTTGTTTAGATGCTATCAGTTTAGAGAGGACTTTCCAACAAGAAAATTACTGTTAAAAGACATCAGGAAATGGTTAAACTCCAGAAGGCTAAAAGGTCAGTGAGTCTGCAATGTGCAAAGCCTGCATTCATAGTAATGCTGTCTATGTGCATTAAATCCTCCCCCTACCCTTTTAAAAGGGGATTTAAAAATAGCCCTTTGTACCTAGGGAAAAAATATTGGTTCATTCATATAAAAAATATTTATGTTGAGAAATAAAAATGTGGGGCAATGGCTCAACCATACATAGTGTTATCCCAACTCTTACAGCGTACACATAGGTCTTGCTTGTTTGCTGGGTCCAGAGTATGGAGGGTAGTGACGATAATGGCACTGAATGGTTTCCATAGTAGGTGCTGTCAGCATGGACTTCAAGGATTCCTGTTGCATGCACCCTAGAAAGAGATGTAAATATGCAATTTGTAAGTCATATTACCAAGAAAGAGCTTTATAAAATCTGAAATGTGGAGTACAGGCAAAAAAACTCCCAGCGGAGGAGAGTATGTGATCTCAATGGAAATTCATTAATCTACCAAACAGTGTACATGCGTATCTGCCATATGGTATTTTACTCTAAAGGAAAACATGAGAAAGTGGGAAAAACAATCCCTATAGAATGTGAACACAAAGTACCTTGGCCTGAAAATAAACATACTAAGTTTACAGCAGAAGAAACGCAGGAGAGTATCCTACATTGTGCCATTAGAACTGAGAAGGTTTGAGAAGCACTACCATGTGATCTTGATTCTCCCTGGGAAAAGGAATAAAGTATTAAAGATTAAGGTTATTTAGCAACAATTTCAGCAGAAAGCTGTGATGTAATATGTAGCATAAACCACAAAAGATGGAGAAGGTTGGTCTTCTATATCAGGATAGCTCTAATTTGTTTAAGCCAAAAGTACTAACAGCCCTTTCCAAGACACAGCTGTGGCAAACCAAAAGGCAGTGAGACACCTGAAAAAATATGCTACTATAAAAAGAGACATCTGCCATTTCACATAATTAAACTGGAAGGCAACTGACTCAGAGCCCCTACTCAACTCCCACATTCACCCCCATTCTCAACATGAAAATCTTAAGAATCTAGAAAAAAAAATGTGCCTCTGATCTCAACACCCCAACAGTGACACTTGGCATTGCCCTAACTGCGCTTTTCACTGGGGGTTTGACCAAACCAGTGCTTGGAACAGCACAGGGAACGAAGCCTGAGGATTCTCTGAGCATCCTTTCAACCAGGAAGAGTGTACACCTGTAAATGCACAGCGTGGCTTCCAGTGAGAGCCAGTCTGTGGCAACTCAGGGTTGTCAGGGCTGACTCAGGTTCTGCACAGCAAGCCTCTGGGACCTGAGAGAATGTGGGCTGGGTTATCTTCTCAATGCTTGCCCCTCACTGGGGTTGGCTTAGGTGACAATAAAATGGACATTTCAAAATTTTCTAATAACTGTCATTCCTACCCCTCTTTATGGCCTTAAAATAACGTATGTTCTTAGATTTCCCCTTGTATTTTATATGTTCAACTTAATATTAGCTGTTTCAGAACTGACTTTGTCTAGAGAAGGAAGCTGAAGCACCCATCTGTGGGTAGAAGAACTCTCTTCATTTCGGCTTGATGAACTGTAAGACTCTATGGCCGGGAAGGGAGCCAGTTATACAAATCTAAGCAGATTTGTATTCTACTCAGAATCTTACCCTATTATGTAAAAGCTATGTTTATAGTTCGAGAACTCAAGTTTCTACTTAAAAGAGGTAATGTTTTATAATATGGAAGATAGGAATCAGTTCTGATCCTGATCGTTACCCTTTTCTCTGAAATGTTGACTAACCTAGGTTTAGAGGCAGCTACGCTGTTTATGCTGTGTTTGGTTCATGAACTAGCAGCAGGAAAATAATGGCATTCCAAACATTCTGCTTCTAGAGTACATCACTAATATATGTGGAGATTGGAGATTTGGATGAGTTTGATCTGCTTTTCTGATTTTCTATTTAAGGATATTTTAGAGCTCAACAAAATGATGTTGATAACTGCTTAAGGAAAATGGTATATAAATATGATAAGTTGAAGATCCATTACTAATTAAGAAAAGGAATAACCTTCCTTCTACATTATCATAGGTCTGTTTAAAGAAACCACCACAGACAATTTTAAGAGCTCTGACAGCAATGCTAGATTATCATGATTATCACACTGAGGCTTTGGTGGGGGGTGATTTCGTTCCTTGTCTCTAGCTAATGCATATTGCAGTCTTGACCATCTGTAATACACGGTAATGCTTCCTTTTCCTAACATAAAGTCTTCAGCATGAGTATTAATTCAGGAACTTTTCAAAATGGGTATTTTTTATTATAAACACTGTAATCTGTCATTTAAAAATAAGCCCACAGATTACAAGAGCAGACAGAATGTTCTTTGGGTTGAGTGAATAGAATGCAGTGGCACCTCTCTATTCAGACAGCTTTCCAAGTGGTGCTTTTCACATGCTTAAGAGAAGGAATGACAAAGAAGACACGCTGGATTCAACTCTGATGTGTCATCTGAACCCAAATGTTGAAGAGACAGTTATTCTTGCTGGTAATGCTGTGATTTGAAGTGGACTGTTAGTCATGTGTTTCATTTTTTTGCGGTGGCTGTGACTAGCCCAAAATAAATAACTAAACCTCCAAATCATAAACAAAATAACAAAACCAGGACATGTATGAGATGTCATAGGAAGTCTATTAGTTGTATGTAAATAAATGAACCTGTCTGAGACTCACACTGAGCCAAAGCAACGCCTCCAGTCTACGGTAAACTACACTGGCAAAATGGTTTTGAATGAACTGTTTACTCTCATAATCCAAATTAATTCTATTCTAAGGCTTTGGGCATCATTTAGTGCAGTTATGAAAATAAGCAGTGCTCTGCATACCCAGAAAAATCAGGACTAGACTAGAGAACTTAGGGTGAGAACTTAGTTATTCAATATGGTCCTTCCTTTTTTTTTTTGCTTTATTCTTTTTGGTTTGTTCTCATGAAATCTACCATTTATGAGGAAAGTCTGAATTTATTTGCTCTTAGCATAAGTTAGTGCTATGTTGATCAAGTGATATAAAAGAAAAAATAGTTTGTATATAGCTGATTGAATTGAATGCAAATTTTGAGAGTAATCTTGAATTGCTCATGCTTTGATGAATGGGCTTAACATCTTACACCACTTAACATATTACTTTTCAGTCATTTTCTATTTTATCCCATGAATGGATTTCTTTTTCTCATATTACATCATTTTATATAGATTCAGTTATAGCCACTAATAAAAACACAGACAACACAAAAGGGCATTGTAGTGAAAAAACTCAATCCTAATTTTAATAACATGTGACATTACTAAGATACTACTAAAATAAGTCCCAAATTGACCTGCTTTTGTTTGCAACATACTACTTGAAAAACTAAACCTACAATGCGCAATACTAATACTATAGTTGTGCAGTACTTCAAATTTTTTGAAATTGTTTTATATCTACTACTTAAAAATATCTCCCAGAACAAGCCTGTATGAAAAAGACCAAATGATGTTATGATGTTTTGGAGGTAATGTACACTTGATTCTCTCTATCAGAATTTCTGATGGCTAACGGCTAAGACTGATTTTTAATCAAATCACTTGATATTGTAGCCACTTGATGGGAATTAGATTTGTGGTCAGTGCCATGTTAAAGCGAAGCTGCTAGATCACCAAAATGTCTCTAAATAAGGAAAACCTACATATTTTTTCCATAAGTAAGTGGCATAAAAATGACATACATGATGTCTGAAACTCCAGATGATCTGCTGGTGTTTAAGATGGATAGCATGATGCCAAGTAGTGGGTTTTAATCATTTTAGGGAAGTAGGGGTTGGAGGACTCAGTTTGAAGTTTCTGAGACAAAAGTTTATAATCCAAAAGTTGGCACTTTGGATAATTGTGGCACAGACGACATTGCTATAATTCAAATACTTCACAACTAAGGAATGTGTGTCTGGAAATTTCCTTCTGAAGTGAATTGTTCCTGATGCTGATAAATGCAGTGCTGAGAGTTCCACTCTGCCTCGCAATTTCCCTTGCTCCATGGCTAGTCAGACTGCGGATGAGAAGTCATGTATTCAGACAGCTGGAGCCTCCCTTCTTAAGACCTTTCGAAAGCATCCATCTTTCACTTCTTTGTACACCTGCTGACAGTTTCTTAAATGGATCAATGGTTTCCTTACTACTCTACAGAACTGATGACAGTTTTCAAGGGAGTATGAAAAATATCCCAGCCTTGAAGTTGTTTATGCCAATATTCACAGTTGATAAATTGGGCTGTCACTATGATCCTACCATAGAGAGCAAAAAGGGGATTTAGTAGTGGTGTTGATCACAGCGATACAAGGCACAAACTGATCCTACATCCATTACCAGATTTCTGCGTTTGCCACCATCTGTTGTTCTCCATCTCTGCTGAAGGTAGGAACAAAAGGCCTAACCTGCAACAAGAAGGATGCAGGTTTTGATGTAGAGGAAAGGCTGTCTGGGAAATCAAGGCTGTTAAATCCTGAACTAGACACCTGAGGGTGTTTATGGGCCCTCCTTATGCTGTACGGTTTTAAATATAAACTGGAAATGCTACTGTCTGGGGACTAGTTTATTAAACATTGTTGTTGGAAGACAGGTGAAGACACAAAACGGCCTCTCAGTGATTGTTTCATGATTTGGGTTCTTCATTGTCCTCACTTCCAAATGACTGAAATGTGTGGATATGCAGGCTAGATTACAGAGTTTAGAATATATGATGCAACTAAAGAGGTTTTGCACAGCAAAAGAAACTATCAGCAGAGTGAACAGACAGCCTACAGAATGGGCGAAACATTTTGCAAACTATGCATCTGACAAAGGTCTAATATTCAGCTCCATAAGGAACTTAAACAAATTTACAAGAAAAAAAAACATTAAAAATGGGCAAAGGACATGAACAGATGTTTTTCAAAAAAAAGACATACATGGGGCCAGCACTCATATGAAGAAAAGCTGATTATCACTGATCATTAGAGAAATTCAAGTCAAAACCACAATGAGATGCCATCTCACACCAGTCAGAATGCCTATTATTGTAAGAAGTCAGAAAAATAAGAGATGCTGGCGAGATTGCAGAGAAAAAGAAATGCTTATACACTGTTGGTGGGAGTGTAAATTGGTTCAACCACTGTGGAAAACGGTGTAGCAATTCCTTAAAGACCTAAAAACAGAAATACCATTCGACCCAGCAATCCCATTACTGGCTATATACCCAAAGGAATGTAAATCCTTCTGTCATAAAGACACATGCATGCATATATTTATTGCAGCACTATTCACAATAGCAAAGACATGGAATCAACCTAAATGCCCATTAATGGTTGACTGGATAAAGAAAATGTGGCACATAGACACCATGGAATACTATGGAGCCATTAAAAAAAAGCAAGATCATGTCTTTTGCAGGAATATGGATGAAGTTGGAGGCCATTATCCTTAGCAAACTGACGCAGGAACAGAAAACCGAATATGGCATGTTCTCACTTGTAAGTGGGAGGTAAATGATGATAAAGATGGACACAAAGAGGGGAACAATAGACACTGGGGCCTACCTGAGTGTGGAAGGTGCGAAGGGGGAGAGGATCAGGAGAAATAACTAGTGGGTCCTAGACTTAATACCTGGGTGATGAAATAATCTCTACAACAAACCCCCATGACACAAGTTTACCTATGTAACAAACCTGCACATGTACCCCTGAACTTTAAAAGTAAAAAAAAAAAGAATATATGATGCTATATTTAGGAAATATTTATTTTTTATTAAACCTCACTGTACCTGATTCCCATTTGGTGGTTCATGTCAGAATTATCTGGATAAATTTTACAAACTGTACAAGCCTGGCTCTCAAAACTTCAGTGCTGCCAAACCAGAGACTTGAGACTGGGCTGGGTAAGTGCTGGGCCAGAAAGGTCTGGGCATGTCATTAGCAGCTGTCCTGCTGGTCAAAAATCAGTGGTTTGGGTAGGTCAGTGTTGCCTAAAATCTCTGCCCACCACGATCACCTGGGGAGCTTTATCAAAATATAAATATCCAGCCCCCACTCAGAATAAACACTCAGAATCTTGTGGGGATGGTGGTGGGGCAGGACCTGGATAGTTTGAAAGATCTCCCCAGGTGATTCTGATGCCCTGTCAGGTTGAGGGACCACTCCTCCAGATGATAGACAACATTAATGAAATGAGAACAGCATTTTTAATGATGAAAAGGTCACCTAGCAACAAGGGAGAGATTCGTGGAGGGTATAAAGCTGAGATCTAGTGATGGTTAGTTTCTTTAGATCAGTATTCCACTTACACAATCAGCTTATCTAAGTTGGATTTTTTTTCTATTTTTCTTTTTTTTTTTTTTTTTTGCCAACTGGAAATATTTATAGTGTTAATAGTGGCAAAGGAAGCATATAAATGTTTCTGAACCCTGGAGTAGGGAAGCTGAGAAATGGCTTTTACTTCAGAAATGAGTCTAAGGGATAAGGCTCCCAGAACAAGAAAAATGGAATTGATGAAGAACTAGCTTATCTAACTTGTGGGTTGTTGTGTGAATAAACAAGGGAAAATACAGACCCAGCTGCTAAGCTCTTTTCAGCATTCTTGCATTGAGCTCCTTGTGATGACATTGCTTTGAGAAAGACTGCAGCTGAGTGCTATTTAAATACAAAGGCAGCCACCTCAGCCACCGAGATTAGCAGAGTGCTGTGTTTGCTGTGAGTGGTGGTTGGTGCTGGGGGTGGAGGAGATGCAGGAAGAAGCTGAAAGATTTAAGAGGAAATGGAGGGCTGGAAATCACTTTGGGGTCTGATAAAATTTGAGGAGAATAGATGTTTATATGGAAAAGGGGTAGGTTCTTTTTCATTTCTAGTTTTCTGAGAATGACAATCTATTAACTGCGTTAACATTAAAATGTAAAATTTTCATTTAGAAAGAATAGATGTGCCAATATGAATTCTTTAGTTCCACAAATCTCCTTTGAAACTGAAAACTGGCAGAAATGGAGCTGAACTTTTGTTAAAACAAGTCATTTATATCAGAAGTGGCCCACTAATAGCAAAACTGGGGTTACAGAAGCAGTTGCAACTTTTGCAGAAATTGGATAGGTGGTAGCTGAAACTGGTTTTCCAAATGGAAAGGATCAAACCATTTGGATGCTATAGAGGCACTAACAGAAGGACCTAAATAAAGTCTTGCTCTGGGAGCCTCACTCTAAGTCCCTTTAAAGTTATGCCACCGACAGAGGAGATCAGTGGTGATAGGAGACAAACAGCGCAGGGCCTCGGCTATTTTCTTTCTTGCAAACAGCCCTAATTTGGGTTCCCCAACTCCTACCCCTTCCCCTATTCTCCAAAGTATTTATGGCTGTTAGTTTGCTTTTTAATACTGCGAACTTTCAAATGTAAGATCCTAAAGGAATAAGGACTGTTTCATTTGAATGTTGTCATGTATGTTTCCCAAGATAGTGGGAACTTTGAGTAAATACTAATAAACTCAAAAGTTTACATTCACCACCCTAAACTTGTGCTTTAAAACACATTCCATTATATAAGATTTCTTGGAAGAGATTTCTCGCAGGTTTCAGAGAAACTTCTAAGACATTTGACACAAGAATGAAAAAAATGAAAAAACAAACAAAAACCTTTGCTAAACACCCAGGCTTCCTCGTAGGGGGCATTTGTGCAGAGTTGATATGCAAAATGATCAATGATCAAAATCACACTGAGAAAGCCAATTTGAAACCAATTTAATAGAACTTAAATTCTCTCACAGGAAATGTGTTTGGGCTTTTGGCAAAGGGCATGAATCTAAATCTCATGGATTTTTATTCATTACGAGAATGCTATTTGACTTGGTTAACAAGTATTTGAGAAAATATCTGAAAAGCTGACTAAGTTTTCAGGGCACTAGAATATTATTGGGAGATCTGGTAATTTTCTGCAGTTCTGTTACCCTCTGACCTGAGCAAAAAAGCATTCAATTCTGGGACATAAGCTGCAACCCAGTAGCCTAATGAATAATGGTATCTGAGCGATAAATAAATGTCAGAAATAACTGAACAATCATGACTTACAAGCAATAATCTGATTTAGAAAAATATTAAATTAGGATCTAAATGGAAAGCGGTGTTTAAACATTTCCATTTGAGAGACCCAGATTGTGCTTTGCTAAGTGGTGTTGGTGGGCAAAGGGCATTTGTTTCTGCCCTGGCAGGAGTGTGATTGATGCCGCTGCTTCTGCAAGCCTAGTAACCAACTATTATTACAGCAGCTCTGAGGTTTGTCGCTGGGCTGTGCAAACAAATGATCGACATCTTGTGGGAATGGCAGTAAGTGGAAGGGCCTCGGTGGAAAACATCGTTTGTGAAATAAGCTTTTCAGTCCAGAATTTAGCTACCGAGAGTGTAAAAACAAAGGTCTTTGCAAGAGAGACAGTGAGCAAAGCATGATGGATAATCTCGGCCATGCACGTAATTGCTTCCAGGTGTCTGGCCACTTTATTACTCTTGGGGTTATGCTACCACCCTGACAATGTTTTCTTTCTCAAACACGATAACTCCTCAGAAGGCTGGTGCCAGCAGTTACTGTTACCTACCTCACTCTAGGTTGACTCGATTAGGGCCCAGTCTCTAGACAAACTGCCACATTAGGGAGATTTAATAAGGTGAGCATATAAAATGGAATTTAGGGAAACCCCATGAAAAGGTAGCTGAGAAGTTTGTTTTCTCCATGTGGGTTAAGTTGTATACTGCTAGGGCTATTGCCACCTTTTTGAAAGGCAGTTTTTTTCTCCTCTGTGTGACATTTTTAAACAAAGTACATGGCTTTCTTTTTGTTCAACTGGTTGGATTTCTAATGCCATTTTTAAGGATTTTTGGTATCCACAATTTAGTGTTTAATAATTTAATTCCCATGCAAACAGAGTAAAAATATAAGGTGTTCTTGCCTGAATGACAACACCTAGAAATAACAACGTTGAAGCAGTGTTCTTAACCACCTGCTTTTCTAGGCTAGGGAAAATAATCACAAAAACTTAAAAATAACATACCGTATTTCATTACTAAAAAGCTTGTTCCGACAATAATCAATATAAATTCTGATGTCCTTTACCTTCTTTGATATAGACAGATTTAGGAGTTGTCAAAAATTCAATATCTGATTTGCTATAAAAAGAACAAAATCTTGTAAATGAAAATAAATACTATGGACATTTTGTATCTATTTACAGTTTTTCTCCCCACAGTATCTCTAGAATCCATGGAGAGAGAGGGAATTTTTTTTTTTAAATTGGAAGTAAATAATAAGATTTGATTAAAATATGGCATACAAGATAAATATGTACAATAACTCCTCTAACTTATTTTAACTTCAGATAGTAGTTGACTGAAAACATCCTCGAAAGAAACATATATAAAAGAAACATATATATATCTATACATATATTCAGATTGTAGTTGATAAAAGTAGATATTACCTTTAGATAGTAGTTGACTGAAAACATCCTCAAAAGAAACATGTATAAAAGAAACATATATATATACATATATTTATATGATATTATTTTATACTTTGACAAAAGCATTTTTATACTTTTTAAATTCTGACAAAAAAGTCATCAAACAATAGAAATAATTTTATGTTTATTAAATTGTTTATTACTCTATTATTTTAAACAAATTGATCCTTGGTCTTCAGAAAAATTATTTCATACTATACACTGGTTGGCATGTACAAGATGAAGGTTCTGCCCTTGGGGCACAGGAAGACAATTATGTTTTAGAGCACTGCAGTTTGGACCATCAATCATTCATTTTTTCACAAGTATTTGGGTCCTTTTTCTCTTTTTGACCTTATTTCATATATTTGCAATTCAGAAATGTGCTCAAAGTTTGGCTTTTATATGTAAAAATTTAAATATATTTTTACTCACATGGCTCAAACAAATTTTACACTAAAAATGAATTGTGTTGGAATATAGAGCTAATTCCCAAGGAGGCACTGAAGCATCACTATTGACCTGGGTGAGGCCCAGATGTGTCTGTACACCAACAGGGGTATACGGCGTAAAGCAAGATGGTTATTAAAAAATGTAATAGCATGAGAATTCCAATGCATTTTAATAAACTCATCTTTCTACAGTTTAAGTTAATTTCTTCTACAAGAATACATGTATATGTATAAAATGGTCCTCCTTCTTATTAAAAAGATAATAATAACCTTTCACTGTGAAAGTGTGCCAAGCAAGAGGCTTTTATTTTTTTACAAAGCAATTTAAATGGGGACCCAGAGTAGACCATTTCACATGATATTTACAACTTCACCAATTTTAATAATTTATCTACATTTATTTTACATTCTCCATGACTGAATGGTGAGTCTAGAATATGGCATGAATTTTGCCCCCATTTACTAGGCCATTCTTGCTGGGAAGGTCTCTTTTACTCTGTAGCCATTTAAAGGTTTCATTCTGTTTCTCTTGAACCTACCCTTTCTTAACCATCTCTTCCTGTTTCTCTTAGTGATAGAAAAAAAAAAAATAAATCATCCCGGTAATAACCTCCAGTTCCTTCCCATGAGGGTTCTGCAACCTCCCTGAAAATAGAGCCAACACCCCTGGGCCCCTTGACGTGCTTGAATTTGTAGTGTGAACCCAGCATAGGGCCTTTCTCTGAGAACCTTACCTGAAAAAGTGTAGTGAAACGTTCAGAAGGAGCAGTCAGTGGCTCTAGTGGGAAATGGCCCAGGACAAAAAGTCTCCTCTTCATCTAGGGACCTGGAAAGGCTTTCAGCAAAGAAAAAATATTATAGGATTATTATTTTTCTCTCAAAGGTGTCAAACATTCTAGAAGAAGACCACCAGAAAACAGGTGAGAAAAGCAAAAGCTTTATTGCTCATAGTAGGAAGGTCAGTAGGAGAGCAAGACTGACCCTACCTTCTGGTTGTTAGCAGAGGTTTGAGATGTGACACAGGCATTTAGGTCTCGAGAAAAGGGCACAAGACACAGCGATATAAGAAGGGGTGGATGCAGGGATAACTGAATAGTTCTGCTTTCAGAAACACGTTCCTAAGCCTGAGCCAGTCAGGGAAAAGAGCATTCTGTGATCATTGGCTCATCAATAATATGACTAGGCCGGGCACGGTGGCTTATGCCTGTAATCCCAGTACTTTGGGAGCCCGAGGCCAATGGATCACTTGAGGTCAGGAGTTCGAAACCAGCCTGGCCGACATGGTGAAACCCCGTCTCTACTAAAAATACAAAAAAATTGCCAGGCATGCTGGTGGGCACCTGTAATCCCAGCTACTGGGGAGGCTGAGGCAGGAGAATCACTTGAACCTGGGAGGTGAAGTTTGCAGTGAACTGAGATTGCACCACTGCACTCCAGCCTGGGTGACAAAGTGAGACTCCATCTCCAAAGAAAAAGGCAATTTGGGCTTGAGTCTTACAGTTCTTTTTACCTATAGGTTGTGAGAAGATCTGAAGCTGTTACCATGACACTGAGTCTTGTCATGCCAACAGGATGAGTACTGTCCCTCAGGCAGTGCTCTGTCCTGCTGTTTCCTACCTCTGAGACTTGAATCTTGCATCTTCTCTGTTTCTAAAGTCCTCCCTCAACTTCACCTACCCAGACCTTAACCATTCTATGTGGCTTAGCTCAGATGTTATTTCCTGAAGTTTTCTCTGATTATGGCAAGGACTGCTATCTCCTTTTGAAGTCTATATGGTTTGACTGTAATGCTATTATTGCATTTCCCTCCTATTGCCTTCTACTGAGGTTATTTGTGTATTTATCCAAATCCTTTATTGGATTTATAATCACTTAGCAGAGAGAAAATTCACATGTGCCAGGCAGTGGGTTACATACTATCTGTGCCTAATCTCCTTTAATCCTGGTGAAATCTTTCTAATCTACGCATTATTGCCTTCATTTTTAAAGTGAAGAAACTGAGGCTCAGAGAGTTTGAGGGACTTGCCCAGGTCCCATGTTGGTAAGGGGTGGAATGGGGATTTGCACTTAGGTGTGTATGACCACAAAACCTAGGCTCTTTCCCACCTCCTTATGCTGATACTCTTAGGGCAGGGATTGGAACTAATTTTTATTCTCTGTAGGAACTGTTAGATATTTGTTGATTTAATTAGTGATCTTAACCAGTCATGTGGCATTTGGCTTTGTCGATATTATATTCTGAAATTGTTGAAAATGGCATTAAAGAGGAGTAAATCTTGAATTAGACATTGGGATTCATTGATTCCCTGTCATTTTTGCATTATAGCTTCCAGTGGTAGAGTAAAATGATGAGGAAATGATCTATTTAACCCAAAGTCCTTAAATTTATCCCTACCCTTTTATTGCACTTTTAATATGAATGAATTAAAGAATTTTGGGGAGCAATTAGTTGATTTCAAATACCAATAGCAAGTAAGAGACCTGGTCTTCTGATTTTTCTTGATCTCATAACAGATTAAATGGATATTGAACTCTGGGTCATCCTGAAAGCAGACAATGTACATACATTTTGTCTGGAGTCACTATTTCTAGGGAGGAGATCATTTCAAGTTCTGTTTAGTGTAATGTCCCTGGAATTGTCTAGTGGTCCATTTTATGGAAACCTGTTGAGGTTAATATAAAAAACTGCAACACAAAAGGTGCCTCAAGGTGCTCTGTCTGCTAACAAAGTGAGTGAGCTCAGTGGAAGAGAGGCAGTAGGCAGCTGGAGACGACTGAGGTAACATAGAGGAGTCATGTGGCTTTGGCAACCAGGGAAGGAGGGTAGCAAGAAGGTCAAGACAACAAGCTCGACAAGGGTAGAGGCTAAGTCTCTCTTGTTCATTCTTTTAATTCCTAATACCCAGCAATTTGCTTGACACAAGGTGCTCAAAATCTAGCTGTTGAATGAAGAGTGATTAAAAGCTGCCATGAAACTGTTTTTGCCAAAATATCAATTATGCTATATAAGATGTGAATAACAGGCTGTATTATAGGGGACCAAGAGACCCCTTATTTGTGAACACTAGTGAGACATTCTCAGGATTATCCTGAATTAGACTGAGGGAATTTGGGGGCTGAGGAGCAGTGATTTTCCACAGTAGGACTAAACTGGAGATTAATGTTTCTTTTCCTCTGATCCCATTATTGCCCCAGGTACTTATGGCCTGAGAAAATGTAATATACCTATGTATTCATGCTGAGCTTTATACCATAGGAGATGGCTTACAGGATAACAAAATGAGTTCTTTTGGAAACTGCATTGTTATTTTCAGAGACCATTTAGTAAATTATCATTATGATGATTTTCAAATGTCAAATAGGTCTTATTATAGCTAGAAAGAGTTAATGTAACTTCCAAAAATCCTTTACATAGTCCTAGGGGTTAAGATAGTCCCAGGTTGGCTGGGCGCGGTGGCTCACGCCTGTAATCCCAGCACTTTGGGAGGCCAAGGCGGGCAGATCACGAGGTTAGGAGATCGAGACCATCCTGGCTAACACGGTGAAACCCCGTCTCTACTAAAAATATAAAAAGAATTAGCCAGGTGTGGTGGCGGGCGCCTGTAGTCCCAGCTACTCGGGAGGCTGAGACAGGAGAATGGCATGAACCCGGGAGGAGGAGCTTGCAGTGAGCCGAGATCGCGCCACTGCACTCCAGCCTGGGCGACAGAGTGAGACTCTGTCTCAAAAAAAAAAAAAATAGACCCAGGTTAAGCTATTTCCAAATTTAGTTTATAAGCACAAGACAATATATGTGGTAAAAGATTTGGAGATATTATAAAATTATTTAATTTGGCCATGATCTTAGCTCCAGTTTAATTTACCTTCTACAGCCTGGTATAATACTCCTAAGACTGCTGACTTTGAATTCCATTTTGAGCTTGCAAGCCTTTTAAAAAACCTTATTTCCTTAAAAGGAACAAGAAGCCCTGTTTTTGTCCCTCACAGAGGAATTTGTGCAGGAAACAAGGAGGTAACGGGGTTAGTTATTTGAGGCAGATTCCTTCTGTGTGCAGCAGCATTCACTGAATTGCATCTGAGGCTACAAAGACAGTTTGCTTAAAATAGGTATAAGAGCTTTCTGTTGATCCTAGAGAGCAAATGAAATCAAGAGCACACCATACATCTCCTGCATTTCAGAATTCCTAGAAGACGCTTCTGCTTTTTCTTATTGGGATGTGATGTAAAAATTTGTGGTGAAAGGCAGATGTTCTTAATTAGCACCTTGAAATATTGCAGATAGCATAAAAGTGTGTACATTTGGTAGTAAGTCCCTAAATGAACTTGAGAAGCAAAGACATATTTTGAGGGGAGAGGAATGGAGGGCCTGAGAAAACGAAGCTTGGTTGGATGAAGAATGATCCTAATTCTCAGTTGATGAATATGGTCCTTGTTTCCAGAGAAATTACATTTATCCGCAGGAAAGAAGCAAGTAGAGCAAATCTCAAACTGGAGACGTGGTTTCCTTGGCTCCTAAGGCTGAAGGCAGCAGCTGGAACCCAGCACCTGGTGTGTCCCGAGCAGCTGGATTTTCAACGGTTGTCACCGCATTGCATTCAGAAATGGAGGTTTTGGGAGTTTTTTGTTTTTGTGTTTTTTCAACATTGTCGCTTAAGTCAATACGGGTGTCCAAGGTTTCTGACAAAATGGCTGCAGAATTGTCCTCCATATAGCTTTGGTGGACTCGGATCATCCATTTATCCATTGTTTAAAAACAAAACATAGTCAAACTTGTAAAATGGTTAGGACTTGTATCAAGTCTAGATAAGCAGCCTAAAAGTTATGAGGGAACAAGGTCAAGGCTTTGAGGACAAAGGCCAGGCTTCCGTATAATGCCAGGTTCCATGTAGCAAGAGGCAGAGTGGGAATAAGATAAAACATGAACAAATGAAGGTTGTCCATGTGGAGAAGGACGGACATGAACAAATGAAGGTTGTCCATGTGGAGAAGGACGGACATGAACGAATGAAGGTTGTCCATGTGGAGAAGGACGGACATGAACAAATGAAGGTTGTCCATGTGGAGAAGGACGGATATGAACAAATGAAGGTTGTCCATGTGGAGAAGGACGGGAGAGAAAATTCCCGGGCTGGCTGCTAGAGAAGCCACACCAAAGCCTTTCTTCTCTACTTCCTGAGGAAAACTGACTTACGCCTTCTGTGATAGGATAATACTTTGGATTTACATAGAAAAAAAACACCCATTCCACAAAATATTGACAATTAGACGAACTAAATATTTTCTCAAAAATTTTTATGTATAAACATTTCTCTTAAATTTACAATATAAACCTTATAAAAGCAAGAACTGTGTTTCACTCACCACTGCATTCCCAATGCATAGGACAGTATCCGGTAAATGCCAATTAAAGGAATAAAACAGAAATGAAACTCTCATGCACCAGGTACTGTGCCAGACGCTATGGACAAACACAGCTCTGGCCTTGAAGGGTTTATAGGGAATTTAGGGCATATCTACAAATAACATATGCAAAGTAGAAAGTGGTTCAGAGGAGACTATATTTAATGAGTTTATGGTGAGGATGGAGTTTCCCTCATGGGTGGGAAGTGGGGATAGAAAAGGGAAGACCCTGTATGGTCACTTATGTTTAGTGTTAACTTTACAGGTTGATGTGGGGCTTAGAAATGGCAGAGATGGACAAAAAGATGTTCCACGCCAAAGAAAATCTGTAAGTAAGGAGATTTTAGAAGGTGTAAGGGACTCTGCATGGCTCATTTCAGCTAAAGTGAAAGCTACTCGATGGTGATCATGAGAAGTGAGGTGGGGAATGGGAATCAAGATAAATGGATGGAGGCTCTGGAATGCCACAGAAAAGAAAATGGGGGCATTATTCCATAGGAATCATGGAGAAGTATTGAAAGTTTTGGAAAAGGAGAAATATGGTCAGGGTTGAACTTTCGGGAAGTGAATTTGACAGCGGGATAGGTGATAAATTAGAGGAGCATGAGGCTGGAGGCAGCTAGGGAGCCCTTCATGGGGCTCAGGCAAAAGGCCACAAGCATTTGGACCAGAGTAGAGGCTATGAGCATGAAATGTGGAAGCAAATGTGAGAGATGCCCCAGAGGGAGGGGCCCTTAGTGCAAGTGTTTGATGCAGAGCTGGAGATGTGAAGTGGAGGTTCGGGAGAGAAATCCGGATCAGAAAAAGATTTGGAAGCCATTTGGACAGAGCTGTGAGTTGAAGCTGTAAAAATTGAACCAGGCACCAAATGAGTGAACAGTAGAATAAACAGAGAAGGAAAGATCCTTTAAGGACACTTGAATTTATGGAGACAAATACAGAGGAAGGACTGGAGAAGAATGCAGAGAAGGGATTTTCAGAAACATAAGAGAATGAAGAGTATGCATTAAGGAAACCATAGGGAAAGGATTTCAAGAAGTCCAATAGGATCTAGTGTGGTGAAGAATGTAAACTGAGGAAAAGGCTCTGTCAACAAAATGTTCACCAGAGACACTTAAGAGAGAGGAGTACATGACAGAGATGGATTGAAGGTGATATTGCATCACTGACAGTGAGAAAAGCTGGCAGCAATACAATCCACTAATTCAGGAAGTTTTGGAGATTAAGAGCAAAGAGATAGAGTAGGGTCTTGATGGGGTGCTGAAAGAATTGGGGAAAAAACTTCAGGATAGGACAGGCTTGTACTGCTTATTTGATGAAGGAGAGGAGAGAGGAGGAAAGAAAGAGGGAAAGCGAGAGAAAAGGAGAGAGGAAGACAGGAAGGGAGGGTGAGGGAACAGGTGGGCATTGAGGGAGAGAGAGAGAGAATATTTGATGCTGTAAGGTAACAGGAAGAATAAATGTCCTTAGATTGTTAAAATTAAAAATATTCTGAAATCTCCTAACATAGTGTGTAAACAATGCAGACGAAAGCTGGAGATTAAAGGGACTTTACTACTTCAATTCGTGTGTGTGTGTGTGTGTGTATGTGTGTGTGTGTGTGTATGTGTGTGTGAAAGAGAGAAAGAGAGAGAAATGGAAAACTGGAGGGAGCACTTGGGAATATCCTGGAATCATTAGACATTTTTATCTTTGGTTCTTTCCAGTAGGGCGTGGAAAAGGGGTTCAGAAAACAGACATCCGATAGTTTATTGTGTATAGAATGTTTACCTGAATTCTGCTTTTTGCTAAGGCCTAAATTATGTTTTTGCAGAAGATCTTTTTTCTTGTTATGTTCTTATCATTAGTTGAGTGGAGTGTCCCTGAGGGCTTCTAGTCGCAAGTTTGGAAACACAGACCTAGACTTTTTTCTTTTTTTTTGAGATGGAGTCTTGCTGTGTCGCCCAGGCTGGAGTGCAGTGGCACGATCTCGGCTCACTGCAGTCTCTGCCTCCGGGGTTCAAGCGATTCTCCTGCCTCAGCCTCCCGAGTAGCTGGGATTACAGGCGCCCACAACCACGCCCAGCTAATTTTTGTATCTTTAGTATAGACGGGGTTTCGCCCTGTTGGCCAGGCTGGTCTCAGAACTCCTGGCCTTAGGTGATCCGCCCACCTTGGCCTCTCAAAGTGCTGGGATTACAGGCATGAGCCACCATGCCCGACCAGACCTAGGCTTTTGATTCCAAAGTACAGAAACTTAATATTTGAAGGTGTGGTCATGATCTGCTTATTCATGTGAATGGCCCAGGTTACAATGGCCCAATCTAGTCATTTTGTACCTTTCAAGGGCTATTTCCGTTTGTTTCTGGGCATGGGTTTAGTCTGCTGCTGAAAATGGAAGGCAGTGCCAAAATTACACGCATATTCATAAACTATAAACAAACACACAATTATACACACACAATCTGACACACCTCCTATAATAATAAACTGAAACCAAAGGCACCACACAAAATACTTTTTTGCTTTGCTGGCAGAGTTTGTGGAAGAGTTTTTGTACTACAGGGCTCAATTTTCAGAGTTTATTACAAGTCCACAATTAACAAGAGTACATACAAAAGAATTATTCTCAGATGTACTATTGCAGTACTGTTTGTAACTCAAATATGCACTATCTGGGGCTTTGTTTGAGGTTGACAATATAGGACTTATAATAGACCTGGTTGAGTTTTCAACATATTCTTGGAAAAGTTCTTTTATTTGCTTTTTAGCATACATGAATCTTTGCAATTTGTTCTCCTGTTTGGACTGTATAAACAACATCAAGATGCTTTTTCTATTCATTCAAACAAACAATGACTTTGTAACTAAGAAGAAAATTAGTAACAGGTGAAAGTTTATTTTTAATGACGTTGATATCATATTACTGTTTAACTTACAGAACAAACTTCCCCATGTCTCTTTAATGTTTCAAAATTATTTACAAATTAAACTTAAACAACCTCTAAACGTGCTCAGAGCATAAAAATGGCAGCCTCTTTATCCTGTATTACTAACAGAATACAAAGGATATTGCTTTGTTCTGATTTTTTTCTTTGCAATTTATTTTTAAAACATCTTGCATTATAAAAATTTACATAAAGCTGTCTTGGAGATGTTTTATTTTGTACTTGTATGTAAATCAAAGTTCTGTGCTTGGAATTATGTTTCTTTTAAAATCCATACTAATATTTGCTTTTATTAGCTGCATTTTTATATTGTGTACTGTATATATTTGTTCCTGTTCTATTTCATTCTTTTAACATGATTTTGTCTTTTGGTGACTCTTCTTTGTAAGTGTTCCCTTTCACTGTTGTAAATCTACAGAGCTTTTTATTTTCTTTTTTTTTTTTTTTGAGATGGGGTCTTGCTCTGTGCAGTGGCACAATCCTGGCTCACTGCAACCTCCGCCTCCTGGGTTCAAGCGATTCTCCTGCCTTAGCTTCCCGAGTAGCTGGGACTACAGGCACCTGTCACGATGCCCAGCTCATTTTTGTATTTTTGGTAGAGATGGGGTTTCACCATGTTGGCCGGGCTGGTCTTGAACTCCTGACTTCAGATGATCCGCCCACCTCAGCCTCCCAAAGTGCTGGGATTACAGGTGTGAGCCACCGCAGCTTCTAATAATCAATGTAAAAAGAATATTTATTAAGTGTTAAATCCTCCCTACCCCTTCGTCTTTCTTTAAAAAGTCATAGTGTCTAGCATCTATTGAACTACATAAGATCTAGTTTTACTTACTATGTCCCTAAATCTGTTACAAATTTGTATTGGAATAGTCAAATTTTGAATGATTTTATTAATGACACCTTTATAAAACATTTAGACCAGAAGGAAATCTATTTCAGTTCAATACAAAGAATGTTTGAACAGTCAAGAGCTCTTTGGAGATGGGAATGGTGGCCTTGAAAGGTAGAAGGGATTGATGGATTGATGTTCCCCTGGGGGAGAAGTGTCCCTCTTAAATAAGATACTGAGGGAAATTGCCCGTGCCTAGTTGTTCTTGTTATGTGGGATGCTAAGAATCTTACAGTCTACGAGAATTGCAGACTTGAGAGTAATTCCACGATGGATCTAACTGAAGCAATGCGGGTTTTGAATACCAAAGTGTGAAAGTTTATTTGTGAATAGGTTTGAGGAAGGGAAAGTAGGTTTTTATAGCCTCGAAAATGACTTTGGTGACAAGTTAGCATTTCATTTTCTTTTGCTCCAATAGATTTTCTGTATCTTTTTGAAGGCTTTTACTTGTAAAAACTTTTTAAAATACATGTGAGTGTCTCCAAACTAAATATTTTTAACAGTCTCGTTTTTTCTCAAGTATAAAAAAAGTTGATTAGAATGTGAATTTGAGAGCATGACTTCTTCATCTAGCCTTTGTCATTCTTGTGTCATATTTTATAAATTCTTGTGAATAGTAAATTCTGCAAATACTGCCCAGATTTAGTTCAATTCCACTTAATAAACAATTTATTAGCTATGAGGTAGGTACAGTAATCATGTTAGCATAAGACCCAGTTTTATAATTAAGGATTTTGCATCCAGAGAGATAAAAAGTAGGTATGAAGAACCAAATGGCTTACTTTTTCTTCCCTTCTATTTCTCCATCAAATTCCCTTTCCTCTTCTCCCTCTCCACTTCCCGCTCCATGCACTGGGGAACTGAATGAGTAAATGCAGACTAGGGTGCCAAGGCTGGTTTGGGAGCAGTTTAGCTTGCAAATATGTTCTGATGCTGGAGGAGTCAGTGGCTTAGAGGAGAACCAGACCCGAGGGAAGCCTGCAAAATTCCTTTAGGCCAGAGAATAGGTTCAATTCATCCATCTACTGCCAGTGCCCAGCAAGTACCCAGCACCAACCCTATTGATTTAAGCCATAAATGGGCAGGACTTATCTCACTATCACTCTCCCACCTACTTTTCAAGAACCTTTCTTTTTCTCCTTTCTTTGGTGTAATCCCCACTATCATGCTTCTCAGGTAGTCTGTATTCTCTGATGGCCTTAAGCTAACCCAAGGCCCTCCCACACCTAAGCTTGATCTCCAAAATGCACTACCTTCTTCTACTCTAAGGAGGTTATTTGGGTTATTTCTGCTCTGCAATGAAGGAGTCCCAGGTTCCTAGGAGGTGTTTGCATTTTAAAGACAAATGCATTGATCAAGTGATTATCTAGCTAGAGTGAGGTGTTGGGTGACGCTAGTGGAGAGCATAGTTCTGGGTTGGGTAATCCTTGCCTGATCTTCTCCCACATTTGCTCTGCCTTACTTTGTCAAAATACTAAAATGTATGGAATCAGTGCTGCAGTTGCAGATCATGGACTGTGACTTTCTCCCACTTTTGCAGAGACACTGCATCTCAAGGGCTCAGAGAAGAAAGAGCTGCTACTTAGTTAGAGAGTGTGTGTTGACAGACTATCTATATCACACATATATGAAATCTAGGCTCCCAAATGTGGGGGCCTCTCAATTTTCTGGCAGCACAGTTCTAAGCACATTATTGGCATTGCTCCAGTTACCTATTGTTGCATAAAAACCACTGAAAATGGCTGGGCGTCGTGGCTCACACCTGTAATCCCAGCATTTTGGGAGGCTGAGGTGGGCAGATCACCTGAGGTGAGGAGTTCAAGACCAGCCTGACCAACATGGAGAAAACCAATCTCTACTAAAAATACAAAAATTAGCTGGGCATGGTGGCACATGCCTGTAATCCCAGCTACTCGGGAGACTGATGCAGGAGAATCACTTGAACCCAGGAGGAGTGGGTTGCAGTGAGCTGAGATCACGCCATTGCACTCCAGCCTTGGCAACAAGAGTGAAACCGAGTCTCAAACAAACAAACAAACCAAAAACTGAAATGTAGAGATATAAAACATCATCCATTTCACCATGCTCAGGATTATGTGGGTGAGGATTCACGTACAGCATAGCACTGTGATGTCTGGGGCCTCAACTGGGAATGGGAAGACGCAAATGACTAGGGGTAACTCAAGAGACTGGGAATGGAAGCACCTGGGGGCTTCTCCACTCATATGTCGGCATTTGGGCTGAAATACTCTAAGGCTGGGCTCCATTGGGATCGTTTCCTGGGACACCTCCATGTCTCCTCTCCACATGGGTTCCTCATAACACAGTAGCTGTGTCCCCAGAAGGAGTGTCAGGGAAGCAAATGTTCCAGGAGAACCAGGGGAAGCTGCATGAGTTCTCTCACCTCCCCTGGAAGTCATGAGGCATCATTTCTGCCACAACCTTTTGGTAACAACGGAGCTGGTTGGCCAGCCCAGATTGAAGCGGAAAGGAAGGAGATACCACTCCTTGTGGGTGATGGGATTTTCTGTGGAAGCATGTGTGGCATGAGAGTTAATGGTGTGGTCATGTTCAGAAAGTGCCACAGCACTTCACAGTCTTGTCCCTTATTAGCGTAGCCCACGCTTGATTCAGAGTCTTTAATCCTCTCCTCCACCCTGCAAAGTAAGCATTATCCTCATTTCTAAGCTGAAGAAACTAAGGTGCAACAAAGCCTAGAAACTTGCTTCAGGCCACACAGCCCCCGAGTGAAAGAGCCAGGATTGGACTCAGGTCTGTGTTACTTAAAAGCCCACATTCGTTTCATCATGAGATATTTTTATATTTGAATATATGGGGAAAGGGGAAAATTGTATTTAACAGAACTAATTTCAACTTGCTCTGGTAATTAGCAAATTATAAGGGATTATTTAAACTGAAACAAATATATGTTCATATTTGGGGAATGAGAAAGTCCCCACACAATACAAGTCATTTTCCTTTCTTATTAATTTTTATTGTTGTTCTACTCTGGCATGAGTTAAAAATATGATGTAAACATGAATGTAGACTTTCTGAATTTAGTTTATGTACTGCTTAGGCATTATTGATGTAGTCAAATGTTTTGTGCGGGAAGGAACAATATCTGTAACATTTTTAATAGTCATTGAACAATAGATTCTCTGAAAATGTTAACAATATGTGGCAGATGTAACCAAAAAAAATCAAATTGTTTTTAACTACATTCCTTTTTCCAAAATTTTCCAATACACCCCTCTGCAGCTCCTCTGACATTAATTAAAAACAACTTGTTGAAGCCTTTGTGATGTATTAGATAGAATTTAAGATATTTTGTTTTCAAAGGAAAAGCATAAATAGACAAAAGCCTGTGTTTGTATCTGTAAGCATTTGTACATTGCTGTGACCCAGAGTTAGCTGAAAGGGTAGAAGATATTTTACAAAATGTATACAAATGCTGTGTCTGGTTCTAGATTCTTTGTGCGTGTGTGTGTGTGTGTGTGTGTGTGTGTGTGTGTGCGTGCACGCATGAGTGGGTATGAAGTGTATAAAGTTATTGGAAGAAACACGTTGCTTTTCCACGAGGAAAAATATTGCTTTAAAAATAGTTTTGATTTATATAACTTGCATATATTTACTTTAGAGAAGAAAGAGTAAATTATTAGGCCTCTGAATGACCAGTAAATTCCATGGACAGAGATTCCTCATAATAGTGTGCTGTTTTGCTTTCTAGATAAATGTGTTAATAATTTATAATTCTCAGGCAGTTGGAGTGGTGATCCCGAGATGCTTTCAGAGAATGGAACCTTGACTCTGATATATGTCATTATCGCTAATTGAGCATTTGTGTCATTATTCAGTTTGATTTTAACATTTCTTCTCTAGAGCTCCCACAGAGCTACAAGCAGCTGACATATAGGATGGTCCATAAAAAGCTTTATAATTTCAGAATCTGGGAGGAAGTGGTGTTTTTCTAGTCAGGAAAGCTCAGAATCCAAGAAAGGGCAAGGGCTGTGCTCCCTCCTTTAGACTGTGTTATTTTGCAAGGGTTGCTATAACAAAGTGCCACAGACTGGGTGGCTTAAACCACGGAAAACTTATCATCTCGTAGTTCTGAAGCTAGAAGTCAGAAATCAAATATATGTTTGAGCCAGCCGTTGGTTCCTCTGAGGGCTGTGAGGGAAGGATCTGTTCCAGGCCTCTCTCCCTGGCCGTAGATGATCATCTTTTCCCTGTGTCTCTTCACATCGTCTTCCCTTCATGCTGTCTCCAAATTTCCCCTTCTAATAAGGACATCAGTCATATTAGATTAGAGCACACTGTAATGACCTCATCTTAATGTGATAACCTCTGTAAAGATCCAATCTCCAAATAAGGCCACATTCTGGGGTACTGGGTGGTTAGGACTCCAGGATTTGGGGAGTACAGTTTTACCCATAACAGACTCCACCATGAGCTTTGACTCAAGCATCTGCTCAGAAGAATCACAGTTATGGATTTGGAAAGGGACATGAAGCCCTCCGATGCTTGAGAATCTGGTGGCTCAAAAATCCCCCTAGGAAAAAGATCACTAAACTTCTAGTGCAGGGGTGACTGCATGATTTATTATCCAAATGGGTACACTTGAGAGCCAAAAAGGGCTAGCTAGAAGACATGCTGCGCCACAGGTACATCCCAGAATGGTCACCCTACTCTAAACAGATGTATGCCATTTTGAGAACCCTCCATTTAGAACGCCTGCATTCCCACCATTGTGTGGCCACCTCCAAGTGCCTGAGAGCCCTTGTGCAGCACGGAGCATAGTGACAGCTACAGTCCTTGTTTCTGAACATCAAGTGTGTGCAATTCCTCTCTGGATGTTGTCTCATTTAATCTTTGTAATATTCTGCAAGGTTAAGTCTTCTTTCCTTTTCACAGATGAGTAAAACAAGACCCAGAGAGGGTCAACAATTCAATGGAGGTCACATAGCCATTAAAAAGAAAAGCCTGGATTCCCATCCAGGTTACTTAGTTCTCAAGCCTCTCTCTTCATCACTGTCTTTTAACATTTTGTGGAGCCATTTTGTTTTCCTCTCACACACATTGCCCACCAGCCGCCCTGGAATGCAGAAAATTGGTGTGGAGGGACTTTTTTGAGTCTGAATTTGCAACTGCTGCAAACAAAAGATGAATGTGATAAACATGCCTTGTGAAAGGGATGTGGGTCTTGTGTTGGTTCTATAACTACACTTGCCCAAAGCATCCCCAGTATAGAAAAGTCCTGTTCCCAATCCCATTATTGTGTAAATGCCCAGAGGAATATAAATCATTCTACCATAAAAACACATGCACACGAATGTTCATTGCAGCACTCTTCACAATAGCAAAGACATGGAATCAACCTAAATGCCTGCCAATGACATATTGAATAAAGAAAATGTGATACATACAACCATGGAATACTATGCAGCCATAAAAAGAACAAGATCATATCTTTTGTGGGGACATGGATGGAGCAGGAAGCCATTATCCTTAGTAAACTAACGCAGAAACAGAAAAACCAAATACCGCATGTTCTCACTGATAAGTGGGAGCTAAATGATGAGAACTTAGGAACACAATGAAGGAAACAATAGACAGTGGGGTCTACTTGAGGTGGGTGGGAGGAGGGAGAGGAGCAGAAAAAGTAGCTACTGGATACTGAGCTTAATACCGGGTGATGAAATAATCTGCTCAAAAAACCCCTGTGACATGTGTTTATCTATGTAACAAACCTTGCACGTACCCCCGAACCTGAAAGAAAAGTTTAAAAGAAAAATGCTGTCCTGAAACATTTTGTTAAGCTAACTTACATAGTGCCAAAGATAGTTTTTTGAAAAAAACCTGGGTGGATTGGGCACACATGCCTAGTAAAGTAACCCAGGCTTGCTGATCCTATACCTCCCACACGCCCCCTGAAGCCTTTGCCTCTGGTTATATACTTGGGGTCTTGCTGCCTTTTTCTCACAACTCACCATTTTAGAGCTGCTTATAAGTCTAAGTGCTGGTACATGATCACACATGTAGCACTTAGCAGGGGAGATAATTATGCCCTTTGACCCAGAAAAAAAGATTGAATGATTCAATTCATATTTAATCATTTTTATTTCATTCTGATGCAGAAATCCATTTTCTTCAGAATGAAATAAATGAGTCAATCTACCTCCAGGGAAGAGTTAAGGTAAATGCAATTGCCACATAAAACCCAAATGGCTTAAGATAGTATTACGTATTGCTAAAAGTAGGCAGTTGAAGATGGAAATGAAACTTAATAATAATATTACAAGCATGCACTGGGATTTTATTATAAGTTTATTAGGATTATAAATATGGAATTTACATGCTATATGTATATTTCAATATTATATTTTGTTAAATTAGTTCAGCAGTCATTAGCATGTTGGTGGTATGTTACTTATATTCCCTTTACATTACATACCCGACTTTTGAGACCCACAAAATGAATTAAAAATCAGTTCTTTACCTTCACAATATATTCTAAAGCTGAGTTTATGTATATTCTCAGTGTTTTAACCACTTAGTAGGATTTTTGGCTATAGCACCTGTAAAAAATTAAATCTGTTCTGTGATCTGTGTACTTGTGGGGGTGTGTATGTGTTTAAAATTGAGGTTTTGACATGGAAATTAAACTATAAATGACTTAATGACCCACCTCATGATCTACAAAGAAATCAAATGACTTCCTTCTCTAAATTCCTAAATGACGCTTCCAGGGCAGTCTATCATATTCATTTACCACAGAATCCTACGTTGTCTGTATCTGAGCTGTCATTTCCAAACACAGGCTGGAGCGAATCTCATGCCTAGAGCTCAGGAAGTCTGCCACTCTAGTGCACTGCGAGGAGTGGATCCTGTAGTGAGTTGCCCCTCCCCCCTTCTTCCTCTGTTTTGTTTCTGTATCTCATCTCCCTCCACGTTTCCACATTTCTACCACACTTGACACACACACACACAATTAAACAGGAGCAGGGTGGCCACCAGTTTTCCTAAAATTTCCCATTTCCAAAGCCAAGTCAAATAGGTTAGGACAGTGTATTTTCGCTTGGTTTGGACTAACCTGAGTCTTCCTATGAATTAACGTGCATTTCAGTGAGTGTTGGAAAGAGACATACTTTTAGTAGATTCTGGTTCTGTCGACTACGTTAATTCTTAGAATCCTATGTTAATTTCCATTTAATGTGAGCTTGTTGTTCATGGTTTTAGGGGGAAAAGTATCAAAAAGACTTAATTTGCAGTATTTTTAAAAACACATAATGTTCTGAAGCCTCACTGTAACTCATTTTAGGGTTCAAATCGCACAAGTACACAAATACAAAGTTTTCCAGTACTTTTTGTACCAAATGTACTTTGATGAAATTCAAGGCAGATCAATTACATAGTCACAAATTGAATTGTTATATCCACGAATGGAAGCTATGTTTACAACCATGCCACATACTAGTGAAAGCATGCAGGCAGTCAATAGTGACTACAGAATTTTTTCACAGCGGGGTTTGGGGTGGAAAACGAGTGTGTGGTGGAGGGAAATGGCATTTGTATGGCAAGCACATTTTTTATGTAGAATGTATGTTACAAATTAATTAAAGTAACAGCTTTCTACTTCCGGATGCTTTCCTTCACACCTTATTAACATAGAGAAATGTCAAGGGTCTATATTGGAAAATATTATTTCATTTTACTTGGGGTCATTGGGGGATTGATAGATAACATTTGTATGTGGTATTCAAGTTCCCTCCCCACATTCAAGCAACCCCTTAATGCCAAGGCTGGTAAAAGTTAAAGCAATTTAAGAAAACATGAGCCAAAAATAAAATGTTGACCATGTGAACTGGTTGGTTCACTTAGGTCTCTGATTTCCCATCCCCAGCTCTCATAGCCTGACAGATATCTAGGAGATGATGCCATTGTAGGCATAGCATAATTATGGAAAGAGGAAAAACATGTTAAGCTTTAGAAAGAGAAAAAATCATAAAGATGCATGTAGAAGACTATACTAGCAATGTGAATATAGAAATTCCTCCAGAAACTCAAGCAAGATTCTAAATGTAGTGACTGTTTTCTCCCACTCCCCAGTGCCACTGAACCTAGGGCTACAGTAGGTGTCTTTCTTGCTTTCATTACAACTTTAGCTCATTGTTTCTACTTCTTGCCTACAACTCCCAGACTTGCTACTTATATCTTCAGACTATACCACTCTCATCTCCTCCATGTTGACCACATAGCCTTGGCCACTTTCTCTCATTACTTAACATTTTTAGCTTTTGTTTACTGGCTCTCCATTCAAACTTCAGGGGCATTTCAATATCCACATAGATGATCTTTCTGATATGCTGCCCTTAATTTCCTCTCTTGTAATTTTTTTCTTCTCCACCCCACGTTAGTCATCAACTCCTATTGTCATACATACAATAAGCCTTTATATTACCAATAACGGTATCCCCAGTGGTGATAAACATAATTGATCCTACTACCATCTCATTGTTTTTCATCCCCTTGTCATCCTTATTTCTCTCTTCACTCAACATAGATTCCAAGGTCTTTCATCATCATTACCATTATCATCACAATCATTATCTCCACTGCCTTATTATATCTTCATTGCATGCACCTAGAAAATCCTAACTGCATGAATTAAAACCTGCATCCACACAGTTAAATGTGGCTGGAGGAAATAAAACTAAAACACAACCCATCACAAAGCCTGGTCTCACTTTAAATTAATGACTGCCATCCTCAACTGGATTGTCAAAGTTGCCAAGCAATCCCACCCCAAATCCCTAGTCAATTCACTCCATTGTTCTTCTAGATAATTATTTTATTCCTTCTCCCTTTCCTTAAAACTTGAAAACCCCCTCCCTCATCTTCACTCTCAGGTGATAACCTTGCTTCCTATGTCACTGAAAATTGTGTCATATATTCCCATCACCACATCTACCAGACCCACTAGCAACTGTATCCACAGGCTTTAGTGTTCACCTACTACTGTGGAAGAATTGTCCGTGCTTGTATCTGCTTAATCCTCTGATTGAGATTTAGATGGCTTCTTTCCTTTTCTCAAGGTTACCACTTCAGCAAATTTTTCCTTTCTTTTCCTGGAATCTATATATTTTCCTCTCTATGGGAAGAAAATTCCATAAATATATAAACATACCATAATGTCCCCAGCTAAAGCAATACAAAACACTTTCTTGGGCCTGGCGCGGTGGCTCATGCCTGTAATTCCAGCACTTTGGGAGACCAAGGCAGGCGGATCACCTGAGGTCAGGAGTTCAAGACCAGCCTGGCCAACATGGTGAAACCCTGTCTCTACTAAAAATAGAAAAATTAGCCAGGCGTGGTGGCACGTGCCTGTAGTCCAAGATAGGAAGCTGGGGTGGGAGAATCGCTTGAACCCAGAAGGCGGAGGTTGCAGTGAGCCGAGATTGCGCCACTGCACTCCAGCCTGGGTGACAATGAGACTGCATCTCAAAACAAAAAACATAAACAACAACAACAATACCTTCTTGAATCTGCTTTCTCCTCCATATACTGCTTTATCTTTTTTCTTTACTGAAAAAATTCCTTCAAAGAGATTAACATTAAAGTTTACTAGTTTTCCTACTGAATATGTGTTAGTGGCTAAGGAATCCTAACCAAATTACAAGTTGAAGAAAACATGCACCAGCATGAAGAGGAAAAGGCAGGAGAAGAAGCAGGTATTTCTGAGTCTTAGCCAGTCAGACTTGATCAAAGTTGCTGTCCCTCTCATCTCTCTCTCTCCATACATCATAACCACTAATATTCTTATCCACGAAGATCAAGCTTAAAAGGAACTAAAAACCTAGAATTTTTGTTTTTATTTTATTCTATTTCCAAGAAATAGAATCTTTCTTGGAAAAACTACTGGGGACATAGGTTTTTGAAAAACACTTGAGGGTCCCATTCATTTGTACTTTTTGGTGAGATATGTATTTGACTCCCAAACACTGAAACTTTTGGTAAACTTTAATCAGCTTTTTGTTTGATGTAAGCCATTCAGGGAGTTTAATGGAAAAAGAGGTGAACATGAGGACAGGCAGAAAGAAGTATCAGGACAGACCATATTCTGCATTTATTATAGTCTTTTTTTGTTAGAAGTTTTTCTATATTTTTCAAGTAGACTGGATTTATTCTTTAAGTAGCCCTTAGATGGCTGTAAGTCACATGAAGAATATTTATTCACTTTGCTTACAGCTTTAAGATTTGCAACTAAAATGAAATCCTACTTCTACAGCTCTGTGTGTGTGTGTGTGTGTGTGTGTGTGTGTGTTGAAATAATGTGTTAAAGCTGAATGCCACCCACCATGATGTACAAGAGACTCAGAAAAAAAAGGTCAGATCAAAATTCTATGAATAAATGAAATAAATTGCAAAGTGAAAGAAAACTCCCTAGCTGAAAAACAAAACAAAACAAAATTTTTGGACAATTGCGTATTCCAGGGCAGCAGGTAATGAATTTGTCACCCTTGAAAAGATGCACCATTTAACTGATCAGGACTTCATTTCATATTCCTCATAGGAAAATATTAAATAAAAGTAGTTTTATTCTTCTGAGGCATTTTGTCTCTATAGTTATAACATTTCACAATGTAACTAAACACCTGGCTAATTCAAGAGTCCAGAAATTAGCATACTTCAGTAGTCAAGAGAGGTAAAACTGTTGTCGAAATAGAATCTTTCTTGGAAAAACTACTGGGGACATAGGTTTTTGAAAAACACTTGAGGGTCCCATTCATTTGTACTTTTGCATTTTATGTATATATGACTTCTGTATTTACTTATTCATTTATTCCCAGAAAAATTCAGCATCAAAGTCATTCCTTAAGGCCATGTATAAAAATGTGAAAACCAAGTTAAACAAGAATAAACAAAAGCCATGTGTATGTGAGTGAGGTGTGTGAGACATTATTAGGATATGCTGTCGTTATAAGTCCTTGAACAGGCAGAGCTAAAAAGTGACCCAGATATCATCATTTCTAAAAACTAGAATTATTTTATCATGAAAATGTGATGCTCTAACTGTTCCTGAGAGCACTTCTTTTCCTCTTATCTTTTCTTTAAGTGTACTTCATGGCAAGAAGGAACAATGGTGACTTTGATTTTTGATTTTTTAATTTTTTTGGCTAGTGCCATTACCCTCCTCTTTCCTTTGGCACTTCTTGAGTCAGCAAAAGCCTTTCAAAGCCCTCCCTGAGCTGGGACCTTACAGCTAGCAGAGGCCAGAGTTCTGGCCAGAATCCAGTCCTTATCATTCAAAGTCACTGTTGTTTCTTCTCTGTAGGGGATAGGAAAGAGAAGACAATTTTATGCATTGCTTGCTGCCAAAGTAAGTCATTATTTTGTATCTGCCTGAATAAGATCTTTTCCAAAATTCTCTATCTATAAAACTTTATGTAAATCTTGAAAAATCCTTTCTGCAGGAACCAGGTTTCCTGACAGCTGCTTTGTATAATTCATTGACTGGCTGTGCAGAAACCTTTTATCCAACGTAAAATGTCTTTTATTAAAATCTTCATACCAAAGATAAAATAGAGAAAAACCTATTTATAAGTCCCATGCTAAATCTGTTTTTACCATTTTATTTTGATAAAATGTTTCAGTCATACAAAATGCTAGAAGTAATATAACACAGGACTGTGTTTCTAACACTCCCTTAAGAAATAAAACATTGTAAATGCACTGGAAGCCTCCTTGTACTCTTGCCAGCTGCATTTCTTTCCATTTTACACCTAACCCAGGGTTAACTATTGTCCAAAATTCAGTGCTGATCATTCCTCCTGTGACTTTGTTTTTCATATGCTAAATCCTCAAAACAAATTTAATGACCAAAGTCAAAGAAGTCAAAGCACATGAAGCAATAGAACAGACTACATAGAGACTATGTGTATTCTGCTGCAAAATAGAGAGCCTTAGAGCTTCTTCCCACTCTAAAATTCTGTGACTCTATAAAATGTGGAAAATGCAGTAATTCAGCTAATTTGTTTTTATGAAATCCAATACCAATTTTGAAAGCAACCCAATTTTTCTCATTTCCTCATTGATTTGCATTTATTCCTATTCTTCATATTTTTATATTGATTGAGTAAATTACTCTTGGAAGTTTTAAAAATGAAAAAAGTATATTCCTAGGGATGTAACTTCTTGAATTCTTCTCATTAATTTTCCTATTGATATATACTTACAGGGCACAGCTCTCATACCAAAAGCAAATAACAAAAGCACATTGAGCATTAGAGACCCTGTGAGGTTGTGAATTCAATTTGTGTTGTAATTCAGCCACCTATAGGATTACACTTTGGGGTTGTTTTTTAGATCTGAGGCTTCAGACACCGGCTGTGCAGAGGCAACAGTTTTCCTTGGCCTTTTCTACCAGTTCCCCTTTGTGGTCTCACACTGGTAGCCTGGACTTTCCTAGAGCCATTGAACTTGAAGTTTCCAACTTGTCCACCTGCACCAGTGCTTGAGGAGGGTTGGTTAGTGACTTTCTTCTGCATCAATGCCTACGTTTTAGAAAACATAGTTACAACTCAGCCAAGTTGATATAGACCTAAAAGCTTTCTAATTCTTCACCCAGACCTGGAGTTGAAAATTTAATGATTTTCTTTCTCCGTGTTCAGAAGTGCACTCAGAAGCAACAAACCAACCTAATGTATTATTTATTTCCACTATAAAATTGTATGGTAGCAACTTCTTGTTTGTTCGAAGCCTTATATTCTACAAGAATTTGATGATAAGTGATGACAGATGATGATTAAAATAACTATTTTGCCATAGCATTCCATGAACAACTAGTGTCTCCTAAACCACTGGGCACAGAGTCACTAATGCCTTTAAATCTAATTTTATCAGAGTAAGATGGTCAGATTCCCATCCTTACGGTTCTGTTCCCTGGAGCCAATTCTAGTAGCTATAACTATTAGTCAGGATTCAACTGAGGAAGCAGAAGCACTGTGAATGTTATGGAGTAAGAGGTTTACATAGGAATTTGGCCTACATGATTGTAGGAGCAGCTGGGGACACAAGGGCCCAAAAGAGGGAATTGGAGGATCAAAGAATATTCACTAAGTAACCCTCCTAAAGCCGGGTATATCCAGCTGCTGGATGAGAGCACACAGGAGAGCAGTGGAGAAGAATAGGGAAGGGCAGAATCTCTGCATCTGTGGGTCATCCTGCAGTCACCGTTGGTCATCAGGCCAGCTGACAGGCAGAAGAGCTGGATGTGGAATGGGGAAGAGGAAGAACAAGCTGACTGCTGCTGCATCTGTCTTCTGTGCCTAACCACTAGGACTCTCAAAGAGAAATGGCTGTTGTCATGTCTGCCATCTAAATCTTGTACCAGTTTCTCTTTTTTTTTTTTTTTGCCAATTCAAGCCTAGAACCACATAGGAAAGAAGATTCTGTGAAGTAGAGTTCCAGCTTAGCAGAATCGATAGAAAACAAAACCACCACACTGTATTTTCAGTTCCTGGCTTCAATTGCTGACTCAGAATCTATCCTGTAGATGCAGATTTTCTCATTCACCCTTGAGACCTGTCTACTATTATTTATGCTGTACCTGTTACTGCCATGTATCTAAAATGAATCTACTGTTTGTTTATATATCTGATTTAGCTTTGTTCTTATTTCTGACTTCACCTCCAAATACTCAGGCTTTCCTTTTCTATCTATATTCTCCCCAGTGTTTATCTTCAGCCCTTGGGGGATATTTATTACACTTGTGGCTGCCAGCATATTTTGAACACATTTTCCACATTATGAAATTTCCATTCCAAAATATAGGCAACAACTCACCTTCTCAGCCTTCAATGATCTAGGTTCTGTAACTAGAACTCACCATGATGAGACTGGTATTAAGATTTTGGAGGCAGCAATAGCAGAAGTCTCAGTAGGTGTATTCTTTGCTGAGTATCCCCAGGAAGAGACATGGTCCCTGTTCTAATAGGTTCAGAGATGTTGTAGGCACAGTTACAAGCATCCTGAGATTGAGATTATGCATGATTCCTGGATGCAGAGTCTCCAAGATGATTCCTGGACCTCCTGAAGGTTCTATGAGCTACCTAATAGCCTTTGGTAGAGCGCTTCTCAAACTTCAATGTACCAGTGAAGTAGGTTTAGAATTGGGGCCTGGGATTCTGCATTTCCAACAAGCTCCCAGGTAATGGCAAAGCCTCTGGTCTAATTGATACAGGCCTCTACCTGTTTTCAACATTGCTGCTTTTGACATCAGTGCTGAGGCCAGAGTACTAGATAAACAAGAATCCTAATTAGTAAAGCCTAATACAGGTGGTGGTAATTCCTGTTGGAGCTCTGACAAGACTTAATGTTCCTGGGGTTGTATTGAGGTAAACGTTATGCTGCAAAAAGGTCAAGTGGACTTATTTTCTCTCTACCTTGAGAGGAAAAGAATTTCTTACATCATTTTGTTATTTCACAATCTTCTAATTATGATTGGCAGTGTTAGATGATCTCCTAGCTTTAAGTCCCATCTATATATTGTTGATTGCCACATGTCCACATCCATCCCAGAACTCATATATAGATCTCCAGATTTGTATATCCAACTGCCAATTCAACATCTCTACTTGGAAGTCTCATTGCTATTTTAGATTTAACACAAACCAAACTGATCTTATGCTATTTTCCCCAAGACTGGTCTGCCCATAATCTTTCTCCTCCTAGTTAATGACAACTCCATTATTTAAGCTGCTTACATCCAAACCTTGGAGGCATTTGGGATACTTCTGCAAGGCACATCCAATTCATCAGCAAATTCTCTTCAAAATCTGATTCTCAGCACCTTTACTGCCCTCACTTTGGTCTATACCACCATCATCTCTGGATTACAAGCCTTCCAAAACTTCTACCCTTGCCCTTGTTGTCTTTCTGCAGCACAGCAGCCTAAGCTTTGCTGATAAAACATAGTGTTTAGGTCACTCCTCTGCCCAAAATGTATCAGTGTTTCTCCTTTTCTCTTGGAGTAAAAGCTAACATCTGCATAATGGCTTGCAAGGGCCTACATGGTTTTGGCGTTTTTCAATGTTTAACTTTATTTTATACGACTTTGATCCTCTACACTTTTAGCTATAGCCAGACTGGCCTTGCTCTTTCTTAAACATACTAGTCATGGACTTACCTCAGGGCCTTTGCATTGGCTATTTCCTATGTACGGAATGTTCCCCCCTGCCCCCCCAGATATTAACATAAGTTGCTGCCACAGTACCTTTAAGTGTTACTCAAATGTCCCATTTTCTCAGTAAGGTCTTTGTTGGCCGTCCTTTCTAAAATTCAATCCCTTCTGACTTTTTTTCATTTCCCTTCTCTGCTTTAGGTTTTTTTCCTTGTACTTATTACTGTCTACCATACTATACCTTTCATCTATTGTGTATATTTGTTTTTTTCTCATTAGGGTGTGAGCTCCTTGAGGGAGAGATTTTGTTTGTTTTGTTTATAGCCTTACTCGTAGTGCCTAGAATTGCGTCTGGCACATGGTAGGCACTCACTGAGTATTTGTTGAATGAATGAATCAACAGAAGAGAAGATGGGTTGGTTTTAGATCCACTGCCCAAGAAGGCTTCAGGCCTATCAGGCAGATATAGTCATTAAATAGGAGTATTCTGGTCTATTAGATAAGATGGCACTGATTGGGAATATTTCTTTCAGTAAAAATTATTCAGTACTAGGAAATGTAGGATATAAAATATATAGAACATAATCTCTGCTTCTAAAAATTGTAACTTAAATTAGGAAGAAAAACATTACTGTGAATAAGTGTAATACAAAGTGGATGTTGGTGGGTGGGGCCATCTAAGAATGTGCTATAAGAAAGTAGTTAGTTTCTAGGTTCACATGGACATACTGCAATGGAGAAGTCACTTTTAAAGCCTTGTTAAATAAGATGATACCTGTAAACACACATCCCAATTTAGTAATTGGTAACCATTATAAGTAATAGCATGTCTCTTTAATAATGCCAATAGAAGAGGAGTTGAATGAAAGAATGCCTGTCTCAGAACTGGCATTAAATTATCATAATTTTTCTGATCAGTTAAGCAATACTGCTTGCTATATAAAATTAGGAGGTTAAGAAATGTCACAAATATTAAATAAAGTCATTGAAAATCACTAATAATTTTACTATCCAGAGTTAACCAATTTCTATGCATATATATAGATGAGATCATATGGTATATTCTGTCTTGTGCTTTATTATTGTTTATTTTTTCCAGAACATTTTATTTTTATCAACAAACATCTTCTAAACATAGTTTAATGTTCACAAAATGTTTCATTTTATGTATGTTATATACTTTAATTATTCTCTAATTGTTGAATATTTGTGCCATGTTTTAAAAATAATAAATAATCCTGATATGGTTTGGATTTGTGTCCCTGCCCAAATCTCATGTGAAATTGTAACTCCTAATTTTGGGGGAGGGGCCTGGTGGGAGGTGATTGGATAATGGGAGCCGATTTCCTCCTTGCTGTTCTCATGATAGTGAGTGAGATCTAACAAGATCTGGTTGATTAAAGTGTGTCGCAGCTTTTCCTGCTCTCTCTTCCTCCTGTTCCAGCCACATAAGATTTGTCTGCTTCCCTTTTGCCTTCTGCCATGACTGTAAGTTTCCTAAGGCCTCCAAGCCATGCTCCCTGTACTGCCTACAGAACAAGGAAACCAATTTAACCCTTTTCTTTATAAAGTACCCAGTCTCAGGTATTTCTTTATAGCAGTGCAAAAACAAACTAACACAGAAAATTGGTACTAAGGAGTGGGGCATTGCTATAAAGATACCTGAAAATGTGCAAGCAGCTTTGGAATCGGGTAATGGACAGAGGTTGGAAGAGTATGGAGAGCTCAGAAGAAGACAGGAAGATGAGGGAAAATTTGGAACTTCCCAGAGACTTGTTAAATTGTTGTGACCAAAATGCTGATGGTGATAAAGTCCAGGTGGAAGAGGTCTCAGATAGAGATAAGTAACTTATTGGGAATGAGGCAAGGTCCCTTTTGTTATGCATGAGCAAAAAGATTATCTGAAACTTGATCTGAAACAAGAACTTATATTTAAAAGGGAAGCAGAGCGTAAAAGTTTGGAAAATTTGCAGCATGGCCATGTGGTAGAAAATAAAATTAACTTTCTGGGGAGAAATTCAAGGCTGCAGAAATTTGCATAAGTAAAGAAGAACTAAATGTTAATAGGCAAGACAATAGGGAAAACACCTTCAGGACATTTCAGAGACTTCCTTGACAGCCCCTCCCATCATAGGCCTGGAGGCTAGGAGGCAAGAATGGTTTTGTGGGCCAGGCCTAGGGCTGCGCTGCTCTGTGCAGCCTCAGGACATGGTGCCCTGCATCGTGGCCACTTCAGCTCCAGCCATGGATAAAAGTGGTCAAGTTACAGCTTGGGCTGTTGCTTCAGAGGGTGCAAGCCATAAGTCTTGGCAGCTTCCATGTGGTGTTAAGCCTGCATGTGCACAGAGTGTTAGAGTTGAAACTTAGGAGCCTCTGCCTAGATTTCAGAGGATATATGGAAATGCCTGGATGTCCATGCAGAAGTTTGCTGCAGGGGCAGAGCCCTCATGGAAAACCTCTACTAGGGCGGAGTGGAGGGGAAATGTGGGATTGGAGTCCCCACACAGAGTCCCCACTGGGGTACTGCCTAGTGGAGCTGTGAGAAGAGGGTTACCGTTCTCCAGACCGCAGAATGACAGATTCACCAACAGCTTGCTCTGTGTGCCTGGAAAAGCCACAGGCACTCAATGAAAGCAGCCACAGGGGCAGAGCTGCCCAAGGCCTTGGGGGCCCACTCCTTGCTTCAGTGTTGCTGGGATGTGAAACATGGAGACAAGGGAGATTCTTTCAGAGCTTTAAGATTTAATGACTACCCTGCTGGGTTTCAGACTTGCATGGGGCCTGTAGCCCCTTTGTTTTGGCCAATTTCTCCCTTTTGGAATGGGAGTATTTAGCCAATGCCTGTATCCTCATTGTATCCTGGAAATAACTAACTTGTTTTGGTTTTACAAGCTCATAGGTAGAAGGGACTTGCCTGGTCTCAGATGAGACTTTGGACTGTGGAATTTTGAGTTAATGCTGGAGGAGTTAAGATTTTGGTGGACTGCTGGAAAGGCATGATTTTATTTTGAAATATGAGAAGGATATGAGATTTTGGAGGGGCCACATCTCATGAGATCTGGTTGTTTAAAATGTGTAGCACCTCACCCTGCTCTCTCTTCCTGCTGCTCCAGCCATGCAGGACATCCCTGTAGCCCCTTCGCTTTCTGCCATGATTGTAAGTTTCCTGAGGCCTCTCCAGCCATGCTCCCTTATAGCCTGTGGAACTGTAAGCCAATTAATCCCCTTTTCTTTATAAATTACTCCGTCTCATTAATTCTTTATAGCAATGCAAGAACAGACACATACAAATACTATCTACTTTCCTATAATTTCCTTAGGATGGATTTCATAACATTATAATCTTAAGTAGAGGTATGATTACGTTCAAAGCCAAAAATACACACTGCTATATAGTACACATCTTCTAAAACAGGTTTTACCAATTTACTCAGTAAGTAAATGAGAAAATAGAGATGAACATTTTTACCAGCTACATAATTATAAAAATATACTTTTCCCACTTAATAATACAGGCATTCTTAATTTTATGTTTCCTATTAACTTGATTAGTGTCCAACATCCTTGGCTTCAAGCAACAATTTCACTGTTGGTAGGAAGAACTTGGAGGTAACACACTGGATACTTGGGAGTATGTTTCTGCTTCATTCACCAGGTTTATACTTAGCATCAGAAGAATTTCTCTTACATGACCTAGAGTATGTATTAAAAATGTTTTCTCTGAATCAATGCTATGTTCTCCTGTTAAACCATTTAAGAGACACTGTGGTAAGAAAGCATTGTGCCTCCAGGGCTGCCCCTGGGGGCAAGCAAATTTGGGAAGTCTCATAATGCCAAAATAAACTACCAAATAATGGAATAAAAATCTCATCTTTGGAAGCATTTGCCAAAATGAATTCATTACCTTCATGCCATCGCTGTGAGGCAGGTATAGCTAGTTAGGAAAAACTAACTAAGAATTATAAGGTCCCTTTAAAATAAAAAATGTTACTTAAAAGTTGAATACCAAATCATAAAAAGCAGATAAATATTATTGTCTCAGTTTTATGGACTGAGGAACTGGGTCATAGATATTAAGTGATAAGTAAATTACCCACCAGGGACAATTTAGCTAAGGGTAAAAAGGAATTCATAATTAGAACCCAGGCATCCTCTGGTCTGAGTGTCTATGCTCTGAGATTTGGACCAGGTCTTTTGGCAATGGCATCAGGCAATGAGAACTATTAGAAATTGAAAACTACTGAAAAACGGCTGCTTGAAAACAAAAAATTCATAGTTTGTACTGAAATACTCTTTATGTTTGGCAATATAAAAGTGAGTTGCAATTGAATCCATAATAAGGCCATGACACAGTTCCCTCCTTTGTGCTTTCATTACACATTAGATATATTTATATAATAGTACCTCTTTCCTATAATAGTTAGTTCTGAAGTTTGTGATCCTCACTAAAGACATCCCTGGGATCATCAATTGCACCTTATTTTTTGTATCTTTGGTGTCTAGCTTAGTTCTTGGTACACTGTTAAGTATTAAATGAAATCTCATTGAATGTACAAAAAGATAAAGAAATAATTAGAAATGTGGTAGATGTGTCACACTACCTGACTTCAAAATATATCACAAAGCTATAGTAATCAAAACAGCATATTGGCATAAACATAGATACCTTGACTAATGGAACAGAACAGAAAGTCCAGAAGTCAACTTATGCATTTACAGTCAACTGATTTTCAATAGATGCCAAGAGCATACAAAGGAAATGACAAACTCTTAAATAAATGTTGGGAAAACTAAATATCTGTATGCAGAAGAATAAAATTGGGGGACACATGTCCTCAGGAACTCCTGAGGCTGTGACACAGAAAAAAAAAAAGAATGAAATTGGACCCTTATACTACATACAATAATAAACTCAAAAGGGATTGAAGACTTAAGTATAAGGCTCCAAACCACAAAACTATTGGGAGAAAATTGTTTTAGATGTGATCACAAAAGCACAGTCAACAAAAGCATAGACTAATGGGATTGCATCAAACTAAAAAGCTTCTACACACCAAAGGCAATGACAGAGTGAAGAGACAACTCACAGACTGAGAGAAAATATTTTCAAACCATGTATCTGAGAAGGGATTAAAATCTAAAACACATAAGGAACTCAACTCAATAGCAAAAAAATAAATAACCCAATTAAAAAATGGGCAAAGGACCTAAATAGATATTTCTCAAAGATGACATACAAATGTCTAACAGATATGTGAAAAGATCCTCTATTTCACTCCTCATCAAGGAAATGCATATTAAAGCCACAATGAGCTATCACCTTATATTTGTTAGAGTTGCTATTAATAAAAAGACAAAATATAACATGTTGGTGAAAATGTGAAGAAAAGGAAACCCTTGTACACTGTTGGTGGGTACACAAATTGGTAGAGCAATTATGCAAAAAGTTATGGAGGTTCCTCAAAAAACTAAAAATAAAATTACCATATAATTCAGCAATCCCAATACTGGGTATATATCCAAAGAATTGAAATCAGTATGTTGAAAAGATATCTGCACTCCCAGGTTCATTCAGCATTATTCACCATAGCCAACATATGGAATCAATCTAGGTGTTTATTAATGTATGAATAGATAAAGAATATATAGTATCTGTACACAATCGAATACTATTCAGCCTTAAGAAAGAAGAGAATTCTGTCATTTGTAACAACATAGATGAACCTGGAGGGCATTATGCTAAGTGAAATAAGCCAGGCACAGAAGAACAAATACTACATGATCTCACTTTTATGTGGAATTTTACAAAGTTGAATTAACAGAAGCAGAGAGTAGAATGATGGTTACTGGAAGCAAGGGTGGGAAATTGGAATGAAGAGATGTTGGTCAAATGTATATCAAATGTATAAAGTTTCAGTTAAACAAGAGGAATAACTTTTTGAGATCTATTGTACAGCATAGTGACCATAGTTAATAATAATGTCTTATATATTTCAAAATTGCTAAGAAAGTGTATGTTAAATGTTTTTACTACAAAAAATGATAAGTATCTGAGGTGATGAATGTGTTAATTAGCTTGATACAATCATCCCTCAATGTATGCATATATCAAAAGATCACATTGCATTCTGTAAATATATATAATTATTATTTGTCAAAAATAAAAGTTTCAATAAAAAAAGAAATATAGCAGCATCATAATTTCATACAACAAACATCCTACCTGAGAAGGAGTTTTTAAGGGCCCTCAACAGAAAGTTCATATCAGAATAAACTGTGGAACTTAAAAATATATATATATCTAGCTACAACCTAGACCTTCTAATTTATAATCTCTGGGATACCTTTTGATAAGACTTTACTGTTCTCAGTGTTCACTACTGCTAGAGAACATGCAGTCTACTTCCTTGAAAATCCTTCAGTGTCCTATTGTCACCCCACTGTTAAATGACATAGACAGAAATTTCTTTATATTATATATTTAATGTGACAGATATTAACAGAAAAGGATGAAAAGTCACATTGATTGAGCATCTTCTATGTGCCAGGCACTTTCCTTGTTGCTTAGACAGATTATTGTATTAAGTCTTCACAATGACCCTGCAAAGCAGGTGCTTTTATGCTGTTTCTTTATTTAAATATGGGAAAACTGAATCTTCATATTTCAAGTTAAATATTAATATCATTATTCCACTGATTTCAACTTCCACTCCATAAAATTATGTACAAATATAACTAGTTTTTACTTTTGATATCTTTCAAAGATTCTTAATTCTGCTACATGGTTGTTCTTTAGTAAATAGTCGATTTATTTCTATTATGCTTCATGTACTATGCTAGTTCCTATCCTTCCCACTTATGTTACTGAAAAGGGGTCCCAATCCAGACCCCAAGAGATGATTCTTAGATCTCATGCAAGTCTCAGGGTGAGTCAGTAAAGTGAAAACAAGTTTATAAACAAAGCAGAGGGATAAAAGAATGGCTATGCCATAGAGCAGCCCTGACGGCTGCCGGTTGCCCATTTTTATGGTTATTTTCTTGATTATATGCTAAACAAGGGGTGGATTATTCATGCTTCCCCCTTTCAGACCATATAGGGTAACTTCCTGACTTTGCCATGGCATTTGTAAACTGTCATGGCACTGGTGGGAGTGTAGCAGTGAGGATGATCAGTGATCACTCTCGTTGCCATCTTGGTTTTGGTGGGGTTTGGCCAGCTTCTTTACTGCAACCTGTTTTATGGGCAAGGTCTTTGTGACCTGTATCTTGTGCTGACCGCCTATCTCATCTTGTGACTTAGAATGCCTAACTATCTGGGAATGCAGCCAGTAGGTCTCAGCCCCATTTCACCCAGTCCCTTTCCAGATGGAGTTGCCCTGGTTCGAACACTTCTGACACTTGGATTAAAAGCTCCACAAAGGCAGCCAGGCACGGGGGCTTATGCCTGTAATCCCAGCACTTTGGGAGGCTGAGGCAGGCAGATCACGAGGTCAAGAGATCAAGACCATCCTGGCCAACATGGTGGAACCCCATCTGTACTAAAATACAAAAATTAGCTGGGCGTGGTGGCGTGCACCCATAATCCCAGCTACTCGGGAGGCTGAGGCAGGACAACTGCTTGAACTCGGAGGTGCAGGTTGCAGTGAGCTGAGATGGTGCCACCGCACTCCAGCCTGGCGACAGAGCGACACTCCATCTCAATTTAAAAAAAAAATCTCCACAAAGGCAGAGCTTATCTCTCTTTTTCATTCCCTTGTTTTCTCTCTTTTTTCTCCTCACTTTGTTTCTCCTTTTTTCTTCCCTCCCTCTCCCCAAACCTCTTCTTCCTCTTCTTCCTCTTTTTCTCCTCCTCCTCCTTCTCTTTATCTGCTTTCTTCTTCATCTCTCTCTCTCTCTCCCTCTCATAAATGTAGGTTTCATCATTATTCAGATATGGTGAGGGCAATGGATTAGGAAACAACTCACAGTTCCTAAGAGGAGGGGGCACGCTGTACCATACAAGGCGACATGGGGAAACACCAGGCACAGTCCAGAATCAGGAGCAAAGGAGGAGAAAGCATGGCCAAAAGCCTTTATTGTGTTTTCTTTAGGAAGGAACAGGACGAGAAAGGTAAACAGGCTTAGTTAGGATTGGCTAGTTTGAATTTCAGTGGGCTTTGGGCTATAGGGGTGGCCTCTAGTTGTTTAGTACCTTGGCCCTCAGGTGATTTAGGGCACGGGTGTGGTGTTCTGGATCACAGGAGACTGGTAAAAGGAGGTGGGTGTGGGAGGATATGAACTCAGGATTGGTGGTTTGCATATCAAAGTCTTATTCCTGTCAAATTTTTTGCTGTCTCTAGGAATTAGCTAACCCTGGGAAAGAACAATCTCTCCTAGCTCCTCAGTCCCCAAGATGTCAGAGCATCATAAAATATAGAAAATAAAAACATGACTAATATACCCTCTCTTTGTTTCTCTTCATATTCATACACCGAAGTTATAATCAGTGTGAAATGGAACTCAATCCATTGCTCATTTAGAACCTATAGCAACAAAAGGGAAATAAATCAGCAAAAATGCACTCCAGAATATGCATAGCAGATTCCAAAATAAACACCCTTCCAGAACTAATTTTCTTTTAAATAAATTTTTAATTGAAAAATTAATGATTAAGTTTCAAAAGATTTACATTTGTGTTTTACTATAGTAAAAGATGTGAAAGCAAAAAAATCAGAACTAAGCCAATGGCCCTATGGGAAGCACAAAGGCCCAGAACCTGGCAACTCTGTCCTTAAGGATAAAGGAGATTTCCACTTTGGTCTTTGTACTCAGAAAGACATTTTTTAAGAAAATTATTATTATTTTTTAACAAGAACATGCATGCTGATCTGAGTACCCAGGAGCAATAACTACAGTGTAGCCATATTATCTTAAACCCCTCCCCACTCACCCCACCAACAATGGTCTCAGAACAATTTATGATTCAGCAACACATTTTGGAGCATTTTGGGGCAAGAACATTAGCATGTAATTAAAGAAGGAAGTCTAGGCTTCAGTCTGTTGAAAACCCTAGAATAATGTTCAGTCAATATGAGGCAGAATATATTTAAATGTCAGCTTTTTACTTGCAAAAAAAAATTAATAATGAGTAACATGGAGAAGCTGAATCCATTGAGAAAATAAAAATTATTCCATGTCTCCTCTAGCAGAGTAAATCATAAATATGATATACTGGTTGGACTTTTTCTCCTTAATGCACATTTACATTTTCATTCCAGGTCAAAAAGAATTCAAGAGGCAATATCTGTGATTGGAGTACAAGCTGCTTATAAAAGAGGATTAGAGATTAAAAACATACAATATATAAAATGAAGGATTATTGGAGAACAGGGTGGCTAAGTTTAAAAAAGGCTTCACATAGTCCCTTCTCTGAAATTATTAGGAAACAAACCATATGCATTTAAGCTGCTGCTTCTATCAAGCTGTACCTTCCCAATTATACTGAATATTGCTTCTGGAAGGGTGAAAACGTGTTGTAACTAAAATGGTATTAACTGACATTCCTATGACCTTTTGCACATGTATTACCTCATTTAATGCTGAGAACATTGTGAAATTCAGGTTATTGTTTTTATTTTACAGATGATGAAAGAAAGGGTCAAAGGTTTATGTGATAATCCAAGTTTAAATAGCCTGTAATTGGCTAAACTAGGATTCAAGTTCAGATCTTGTTGATTACAAGTTTCATGTGCTTTCAACTGCAACATCCTGCCTCCTTGCCCACTGGAGGTACCAGATAGATGTATGTTGAAATATACCAAGTTGGATTTCAAATTTTGAAGGAATTCCAAGATTACATAGAGATTTATTTTCTTTAGCATCCATTTCTTTTTGAAATTTAAAATAGGCATATGAACAAAAAGTAGACTTGGTCAGCAAAACACTGGGAATTTTTGATGGCGATAGGAGACTAGAACTAGGAGCAGGAGGATTGAACTTTCCTTAGGTCCTTTAAAAAAATTTCCATCCTCTACTTTCAGGTGTACAGCCTGCCTGCAGCTGATTTGGGGGATATATCAAAGCCACCTGTTTCTTCTTCCTTTTTCTACCAATCAGAGCCTAACACTAGTCTAGTCATCAGTGGAATGACTATCCATTTTTGAGGTATACTTGGAGAGGAAAGAAAGGATAAGACCTGGTTATCTGTCTGTGAGGACATGGGTCATTTTTCACTACTATTGGACTGGAAAATGTGCTCTGCGGTGATAGCCACAGATAGTTACTTCTCTATCCTCATCTGTCTCCTAGGACAGCTCCCCAGATGATGTGAGACTTGGTGATGATTCCACTGGTTTCTGCCAGGTGGTACGCACCCCATTCCCAGTCCGCCAGTCGCCATCATCCAATGGCTGCTTCCCTTTGGCTAGTTGGTCCCCTTCTAAGAGTGACTATTGTGGATAAAGGGAATACGTGACGAAGTATCAGAGAGATCATGAAGCTGAAATACCATAGAAATTTGGTTTGCCTAGAAAATATCTCCTAGGCACAAATTTTTTCTTTTGTTAGATTATTGTCTTTGCAACAAGTGTAGCATAGAAAGCAGTGGCTTGTGTTATTTTCTCTCTGAGCCCCAAAAGCCATTTATGTATTTCTTGCTAACCATTTTTGTGATGGCCAAATTGGACATTGTTGACTTTGTCATATCAATCAGTGACTTGAGGCCACAACTGTAAGCCAGGTAGGCTCTCTTGCTTCTGGAATGTTCAAAATGTGGATAATGCTGATATTTTCCTTGTGACTTGTTGCAAACTGTTATGCATAGCTATTAGAGTCCTTGGTCTCTTCTTTGGGGAGGGTCAGGAGAGGGGTACAGTGGCAGGTGGCAAATTAGATGACCAATCCTTGTTATGTTTCCTTAGCAATAATAAACTTTTGCATTTGCTCCTTCATGGAGATTTCTTTATTTATTCATTCAAAGAGGAACAGATTCTCTCAACATCCCTTCTGGCCCTTAAATTTGATGATTCTGTGACTCAAATATCAGTCTTCTGTCAAAATCTTAGTTGTACAGCTGGGCTAAATGAACCTACCTTTGATTGTGCATGAACTCCCATCCATCTTGAATTTAGGAAAAAAATGCTTCTCTAACATGCTCCAGAGATACTCTAATAAACCTAATGGCAAATCACCTCTCCCACAGGTCAAGGACAGCAGCTTAATGCAAAGCTCGAGCACTATTGGGATTTAGTTGTGACAAGATTCCACTAATGCTGCTTTGGCAAAACTTTATTTATAAAGCACTGAAATGGATGGCCTCTGGGTTTTATGCCCTAGGGATGGGATACAGCTTGCTATCTTTAAAAAAATTTGAGTAGATTGTTACTGATTGGGCCAAAGGGACATAGAACTAGTCATAGAAAACTAAAATAAAAGCTAAATCTATTTTGATGATATCTATGGCAGGGGAGGAGAGTGAGTGCAGGAAAGGAGAGGAGTTTCATTTAACATTTGCCTCCCTGGGCAGTAAAAACTAGGTCAAATGGTTAAAACAGCTCTGTACATCTAATGTGCTATTAGACCATACCAAGCAGTTTTACAAGATGTAGTCTACTTATATAGGGGTAGCTGTAATATATAAATTCCAAATTTTGGATTCATGGCCTATGGTGCATGCATAATTTCTCACTTGATATCACTTCTAGTGTTGGCTGTTTTTCATATTGCACCCGGATATAAAATTTGAAACCTTTTCCTTTAATTATACTAATTGTGTAACTTCAGTTTTAAGACTAGTGCAGTAAAATATCCTAGTTTATCAACTAGAATTGTTAATGATTAGATATGTATCAAACTTTATCATAAAACATTTGGGACAAGAATGTTAGATGGGGTGGGATAAGTGGGAGTGATATGATAAAATATAGTCACATTTGATTAGTTACAAAGAAGAAATAAATCATCATTATGCTGAGTTGATAGTGCATTTAGAGTAAGGCCTATTTGCTTAGAACCCCAAACTATAAGTATAGCATCTTGGGAGAAATGAGGTTGCTTAACATGATATGTCTCTCAAAGTTGTTCAAAGCCAAAGCCCCAGAGGAACTTCATAAAGCTAGATATCACATTTCTAATCTGTCCTTGGCATGTCAACAGATAGAGTTAAAAATTTGAAATTTATCATATGTCAGTTAAGAATAAAATTGACAACAGAAGTTTGAAAAAATAATAGGGAACAGTTTGTGCAATTGGCTTCCACTTGTGGCCACTGGTCATTAGTCTGGGCAAATCTGCAGGGTATGGACAAAGTGCCTATGGACATTTAAATTAGTATGTTGAAATAAAAATGTTATTATGCATATGGTATGCTTTACCTCATTCAGAGCTTGACACATTTTGCCTATGAATATCATTAGGTAGGAGGATGGGCTTTCTAGGAACCATGCTCAGGGCCATCCCTGTTGTTTTCCAATATAGTGATAATTGGTATCAGTCATATAAGCTGAGAATAAGGACACTGGACTTCTTGATGCTCTTGGCTTTCAGGCTAAATATCCATATTTCCTTAGATTAGTAACTCAAGATGAAAGATGATGGACAATAGCTTCAATAAGCAAAGAGTCATGGCATGTAAAACAGGCTAAAGTTAGCTAGAAAGGTGGGGCATAGAGTACTTTTTAAACTTCATAAAATTCCCAATGATTATAGATCTTTATGTCAAAATATTCAAGGTTGAAATTACTGAAACCCACAAGAGCAGGTGTTCTAAATGATAATCTAAGGTATAATTAGAGTTTCTGAAGAACACTATGAGGTAGAGTTAATTGAAAGACTATATGGTTAATTATGGAATGATTTATTAAAAAATTAAAAATAGACTGACATGTTATAAAAACCCTTATTTTTCAAATCCGTATTTTGACTAAACATAAAGCTGAAATATGTTACTACTTTGATTTAAAAAATGTAAACAATTTAGTTATATCTTCAAAATGCTATATAATTATCTCATTTTTATTATATTATACCTCATTATTTACATAATACATAGGTTGTTTCCAAGGTTCACAAAAACCACACTGAACAGACAGATTACAGGGATAAGTGGTAGGACAGTGCTTTAAATTCCACTTGGATTAAAGGATTCAAAAACATAGAATGAAATAGAGAGGTAGCCCTGTCCCCTTGATATTTATAACCACTTTGGATACTCAAATTTAAATCACTGTAATCTTTATGTGTCTATCAATAACTTCTTAGTCACCTCTTTGATTTTTTTTTCATTTCCCAAAAAAACTGATCTAAAACTCTATAATTATTAGAAAAGAATTTTAATGGATTATCGTGGCTGCTGGTATGACAAGTTAGAACAAGAATTCTGCAGATGTAGGACTTCGTTTGAATACTGGTATGTGGGGGTAAGAATTGCACACTATTGATAAGGAAGAGATCAAACATGGGGAGCTGGAAAGAGTACTGAGGCATCACATCATCCCTGTTTATTGTGCAAATAATAAAATTAAGGTCCAATGAGATTAAGCAATTGCTATGGTCTGAAATGTGTACTCCAAAATTCGTGTGTTGAAACTTAATGGCCAATGTGAAACTATTAGGAGGTAGGGCCTTTGGAAGGTGATTAAGTCATAAGGGTGGAGCGCTCAGGAATGAAATTAGGGACCTTATACAAAGGGCTTGAGGAGTGTGTTCACTGTCTAGTGCTATGTGATGACATATTGTTGAAGAGACCATCTTGAAGCAGAGAGCAGCCCTCACTAGACACTGAAACTGCCAGTGCCTCCATCTGGACTCCAGCCTTCAGACCTGTGAGAAATACATTTCTGTTGCTGTAAACTACCCAGTCTCAGGTACCTTGTTAGAGCAACATGTATGGACTAAGATAGCAACTTTCTCAAAATTCCAATAGAAAGCACTAAATTCATGGGGAAAAATATTAATAATTTGATTAGAGAACAGTAGCTTGGCAAAATCTGTGAAAGAATTACATTAAACATACTGTGGGGTTCAGGAGAAAGAAGGCATCACATTCAGTAGCAGGAATTTAAAAAGGCATCAAAAAGAGAGTGACATTCTATATGGCCTTTAAAAATGAGAATTTAGAATTTTCAAACTTGAGGGTAGAGAAATGACAAAAGGGAAGTATTCTATTGTGAATGGCCTTGTAGCAGAAAAGATAGGACCCATTAAAGTAAGGTTTCTCATCCTCAGCACCGTTGACCTTTGGGAGCAGATAATTCTTTTCTGTGGGTTCTGTTCTGCGCATTGTAGAATGCTTAGCAGTATCCCTAAATTCTATCCACTATATGCCAGTCGTATACCTTTCTCCCCACCATGCTGGATTTGTGACAGCCAAAACGATCTCCAGATATTGTCAAATGTCCCTGAGGGGACAAAGGGGCAAAATTGCTCCCCTATGCCCTTGACAACCACTGCATCAGACTATCAGAGAACCTTCAAGGAAGGGTCTTGGTCACTGTGTATACATTAGTCACTCCTAAATGCTTGTTAAGAATTAAGAAGGAAGAAAAGGATGGGAGAAAGGAGGGAAGAAAGAACATAAAAGGATGACATATATTCATTTTTTTCCTGAAAACTGTTACTAAGTTAAAAGTCAATGCATTTTTTTTTTCATTCATTTTAATGGGAAAATTGTGATGCATTCCATCTCAAACTGAGATATGTATCCAAATAATATTCACAGAAAAATATATAAATTTAACTCTATTGTTTTACTTTCAGACATACAATTCAGCATAAGGAAGGTTTTTTTGTACTCAACAAAGTGGGAAGAGAGGTGTGATAGTAGGTGCATTGGTGGTAGGGATGAGGAAGGTCATTCCTTGGAAGGTGTAAATAGATGATCTACTTTTAGCAGGCAACCTCTTTGTGACTCATTTAAAAATGAGGTAATAGTACAGAAAAACATCTTCAGAGAAAATAAAGGTTAAAAATGAGTGTTTCAGGACATATGAAAATAGTCCAATGAATACAAGAGAATGAAGAGGTGGGAAAGTTGCTGCCTTTCATCCCATTCACAAAACAAAATGCTTTGAGTTCATCCAAATATGGTACATATTCTAATGTGCCCCCTCGATAGTCTCAAACCAGAAAGTGTTGCATCAAGAACATTGGTGAGAGTACCTTTCCCTTAAGAGCAATGTTGGTATGTTACTTTGCAGAGTGCATATTTTTTGGGGGGGGGGGTGGGGAGGGTGGTTCAAATATTATTAAACTGAGTAACAAAAGTCATAGATATTTTCAAGAACCTTTATGATATAAAATTGTCAACTGAACAAGCACCTTGTGATGAAAGTTTGTATACGGAAGAGCTGACGGGAGACAAAGCTGTGAAAGCAGAGCGAGGACATACAATTTCACAAGTATTATGGTCAAGTGTGTGGGACATAAAGAGAAAAAAATGAAGTCGGCTTTCAGAGGAACTAATAATCAGAGGGCAATGAAGGTTATCATTGAGGAGGGGACAAATGGAGATTTATATAGAGGAAGTCGTATCTTGCCAGGAAGAAAAAGGAGGAGGAGTCTTGACCACTTCAATTTCAGGGGCTGTGTGCAGAGGAAGAAGCTCGGAGAGGCAAGACAGCCAGGGGTGAAGATTGTTGAGACTGAGTGACTCAGTGCTCTCCTGCAGGAGTCTAAGAGGGTAGAAGGAGCTCAATCAGAGTAACTCCATCTCTAGTTTCTTTAAACAGACAGAGGGCCAGAGTTTACAATTTCTGAGCTGTTTTCAATTTCTGTGTGCTGTGAATTAGAACCAGAATATTCTAGAGGCCCACAGAAGGGCCACAGGAAACAGCTAAGTAGAGAGCCAGTGTGGCCCTGCCACTAGCACAGTTGTGAAAGGGCCATGCTGACCCCAAACCAGAGGCTGGTGGTGGACAGTGGGAGGAACTGGAAGCATTTGAGGGGGAACAAAGCAGCAGGGAAGAGGACTGGGCCAGAGTAAGAAGCACAGACTTCAGCAGCAGATGCAACAAAAATTCCCAGAGACAAGGCCAGTGATGGCCCATTGTCACCAGTTCAGGAGGGAGCCCAGGGAGAAGTGAAGATATACGGTTCTGTCCGAGGATGCCATCCAGTTCTGCCATCATGAGGTGTCACCAAAATGCCATCTGGGGGAAAGCAGAGGGAGGAAGATGGATATATGAGAGATTTACATTTTTGCTCCAAGAGACTGCACATTACTTAAAGGAACCATTATAAATTGTTCCATTAACTAGATTGGACTAATCTTTAGTTGTTGTGTTTTTTTTCTGCCACCCTCCTAAGTAGAACCCATGAGTAAAAGTCAGAGCAGTATTAGAGAAAAAAACTACATTTTCTTTGCAAAACCAGAATGCAGTGTGAGTAAATATGACCCCATTTTATAAATCCCCAGTTCAGTACAGAATAGGCATTTAAAAATGGTTGCTATTATTATAGGACTTGATAACTGATTGGATTTGGGAGGCTGAGAGCGGGCAGAATCACAGAAGATGCCAAGATTTTGACCTGAATAATATGGGAGAATGAGGGCACATCTTTTAAAAATATAGACATCAGCAAGATGAGATTGTTTGGAGTAAAGATATGGTGCTATGAAAACAAGAGGGTTGATGAGTTCTGGAACATGGAATAGTTGAGAGTAATGAGTACATAAATATAAAGTGCTGCATATTTATAATGTTAAGTAGTAGGGGGTCCTGAGGATCAGGAAAAAGATTATTTATAGAAACTAGATCCTTGTGGTTGAAGGAAGACGAATGAAAGTCTTGAGAGTGAGTCACAGGTTTTATTCTTTCCTTGTAATTGTTGGCTCCAAAAAGTGGCCTATACATGAACTGACATTGGAATTTTCATAAGTGACCTAAATGCAACAAATCATATATAGCCATAGTTTGTTATTGACACACAGTCAATGCTCAAATAAAATTTAGATTATCGATATTTTTAATTGTAGAAACAAATTGGTCTTCTCATCCTCTTTTGATTGTTCTGCTTCGATGAGGACCATTTTGGGGGAGGGAACAGGAGAATTGGGGTGGATAGCATGGTGTGTTCCCATTCTTTCTATTCTGTTTCTCTCCTCTCGCAGCATCACTATTTCTTAGCACTCCTGGTGGAAGAAAATAGTTTTCTGGAAGTTCTGTATTCCATTGTAAGAGGTTCAAAAAGTTTAACATTTATAAAGGTCAGGATCATTGGAACTAAATTCCTCCGCTGGTACTTATGTTTATATTTTGGTTAGTTTGTTTTGATAGGCATTTGCTCAAGTGGGCCTTGATAAGGGAACTACGAAGTGTAAATGAGAAAACTTCTAACAGAATGTGGGAGGAAATAAACAAATTGTATCTACATTTTTAGCTGGATTGGTTTATCTGGAAGTATGAGTCTCTTGCTCTCACTCTGTGTGTGTGTGTGTGTGTGTGTGTGTGAGAGAGAGAGAGAGAGAGAGAGAGAGACTCAGGAGAGATCCTTGTCACTGAGCTTCCCTGGCAAGAGTGTTCTACTCTTTTTTTTTTTTTTGTATAAAACATACTACTAATAAACTCATTTTCTACTCTACGGCTTTGAGGGTGTGTGAAAGTGTGAGTGATTTTTCCGTTTGTGCTCAGCAGTGAGAGAAAGGGAAAAGGAGAATATTGAAAGTTGGAGAGGGACCCAGAAGAACCTCAAGTGTAACAAAAGATCTAGTGGTTGACAGTAGAATTAAGTCAATGGAAGGGATCAAATGAGAGGGGCTGAACTAGGGTTGGAAGGATTAATGTAATTCAGAAAACAGATGGAGAAGTTAGGATGAACAAAATGTAGGTTTAAAAAATGTGAATATTTTATTTGAAATTACTTGCTATAGTAATGTATGATATTCAGTATACAGGCGTACTTTGGAGATATGGCTGGTTGAGTTCCAGACCAATGCAATGAAGTGAAAATGGCAAGAAAGTGAGAATTTTCTGGTTTTCCAGTGCATATTGAAGTTATGTTTATACTATACTATAGTCTGGTAAGTGTTCATAGCATTATGTCTATACAAATAATGTGCACACTTTAATTTAAAAAAAATACTGCATTGCTAAAAATCGCTAATGATCACCTGAACTTTCAATAAGTTATAATCTTTTTCCTGGTGGAGGGTCTTGCCTTGATGTTGATGGCTGTTGACTAATCAGGTGAAGGTTGAGGTTGCTGTGAGAATTTCTTTAAAAAGACAACAGCCCCAACAATAAGAAGTTTGCCTTATCCATTGGCTCTTCCTTCCATGAAAGATTTATCTGCAGCATGTGGTATTTGATAGCATTTTACCCACTGTAGAGCTTCTTTCAATATTGGAGTCAAGACTTTCAAACTCTGCTGCTGCTTTATCAACTAAGTTTATGTAATATTCTGTGTTGTTATTTTAACAATGTTCATAGCATCATCACCAGGAGTAGATTCCATCTCAACAAACCACTTTCTTTGCTCATTCATAAGAAACAACTACTCATCCATTAAAATTTTATCATGTGATTGCAACAATTCAGTCACATCTTCAGGCTCCATGTCTAATTCTAGTTCCCTTGCTATTTTCATCACATCTGCAGTTACCTCCTCCACTGAAGTCTTAAAGCCCTCCAAGTCCTTCATGGGGGTTAGGATAATTTCTTCCACACTCCTATTACTGTTGATCTTTTGACCTTCTTCCTTGAAATACAAATGTTCTTAATGCCATCTAGAATGATGAATCCTTTCCCAAAGGCTTTCAATTTACTTTTCTCATATTCATCAGAAGAATAATTATCTATGGAAACTATAGACTTACAGAATATATTTCTTAAGTAATAAGATTTGAAAGATGAAATTACTCCTTGATTTATGGGCTGCAGAATGGATGGTGTGTTAGTGGGCATAAAAACAACACTAATCTCTATCAGAGCTCTTGGATGACTAGGTGCATTGTCAGTGAGCAGTAATATTTTGAAAATAATTTTTTTTCTGAGCAGTAGGTCTCAACAGTGGGCTTAAAATATTCAGTAAACCATGCTGTAAACAGATGTATCATGAAAGCGTTGTTGTTCCATTAATAGAGCACAGGCAAAGTAGATTTAGCATCATTCCTAAGGGCCCTATGATTTTCAGAATGTTCAATAAGCCTTGGCTTCATCTTATAGTCACCAGCTGCCTTAGCCCCTAAAAAGAGAGTCAGCCTGTTCTATGAAGCTTTGAAGCCAGACATTGACTTTTCCTCTGTAGCTATGAAAGTCCTAGATGCTATCTTCCTCCAATTTAAAACTGTTTCATCTACATGGAAAATCTGTTGTTTAGTGCAGCCACCTTCATCCATTACCTTAGCTAGATCTTCTGGATACCTTGCTGCAGCTTCTCCATCAGCACTTTCTGCTTCACCTTGCACTTTTACGTTATGGAGATGGCTCCTTTCCTTAAACCTCACAAACCCATCTCTGCTAGCTTCAAACTTTTCTTCTGCAGCTTCCTTACCTCTCTCAGCCTTCATAGAATTGATGAGCGTTAGAGGCTTGCTCTGGTTTAGGCTTTGGCTTAAGGAAATGTTGTGGCTGGTTTGATCTTTTATCCAGAACCACTAAAACTGTCTCCATATTAGCAATAAGGCTGTTTCATTTTCCCATCATTCACGTGTTCACTGGAGTAGTACTTTTAATGACTTTCAAGAACTTTTCCTTTGCAGTCACAGCTTGGCAACTGTTTGTTATAAGAGGCCCAGTTTTCAGACTGTGTCAGTTTTTGACATGCCTTCCTCACTAAGCTTAATCATTTCTAGCTTTTGTTTTAAAGTAAGAGATGTGCAACTCTTCTTTCCATTTGAACACTTAGAGGCCATCCAAGGGTTAATAATTGGCCTAATTCCAATATTGTTGTGTCTCAGGGAATGGAGAGCCCCAAGGAGAGGGAGAGCATGGGGAATTGCCAGTTGGTGGAGTAGTTAGAACACATACAACATATATTACTTGTTTGTCACCTTACATGAGCATGGATTGTAGCACCCAAAAAACAATTATAATAGTAACATCAAAGATTACTGAACACAGATCACCATAACAGTTATAATAATGATGAAAAAGTTTGGAATATTGCAAGGATTACCAAAATGTGACTGATGCAGAGACACAAAGTGAGCACTTGCTGTTGGAAATAATGGCACCAACAGACTTGCTTGATACAAGGTTGCCACAAACCTTCAATTTGTGAAAAACACAGTTATCTATGAAGTGCAATGAAGTGAACTGCAACAAAATGAAGTGTGCCTGTATTTACAATTAAAATTATGCCCCCAAAGACCTTTTACTAGGAGATTATAAGTTAGTATAATGTTTATTAAGTTACTATGATAAAAACATAATAATTCAGGAAGGCAAGGCTATTTCTTCATTATAAGAGGCCTTTTCTACCTTTCTTTTATTGGCCATGCTGAAGTGAAAGACCTTAATACAGAATATTTAACAAACCATAAATTGTTTCACTAGACCGAATTTGTATCAGATAAAAGTCTGCTCTTAAAATGCAGTGAAATATTTTATCTTGCTAGTGAACATTTCATGTTCCAGGCGAAAACTTACCCCCAAGTCTTAAATGGAAAGTAATGCTAATACTTTTAGATCACTTTCCAGCATCTTTGGCCGGGCGCGGTGGCTCACACCTGTAATCCCAGCTTTCAGGGAGGCAAGAGGCAGGAGGATAGCTTGAGCCCAGGAGTTTGAGACCTGCCTGGGCAATATAGTGAGACCCCGTTCTCCAGAAAAAGGAAAAAAAAAAAAAGACAAAAAAAAATAAGTGTAACTCCAGCATCTTTGTTCGTGGTTCACTTTTTGCCCTTGGGTTGAATATTTTTTCCTTTCTTTCTTTCTTTCTTTCTTTCTTTCTTTCTTTCTTTCTTTCTTTCTTTCTTTCTTTCTTTCTTTCTTTTCTTCCTTTATTTTCTTTTCTCCTCTGTCTGTCTCTCCTTCTCTCTCCAAGAAATCTACAGCATAACCAGGCAATTGAGAGTTATTAGTTATTTTTCCATCCTGTTAGATGATGAACATACACAGGCTCACAAAACAGTAAATTTTTGTTGAACAACATACTTCCTACACTCTCCTCAACCCCCTTCAATTCAACTTCCACCTCCGTCATTCCTGAAATGGCTCCCGCTAAGGTCACCAATCATCCTTAAGGCCCCAAACTTAAAGGATACTGTTCAGCTTTCATATTACTTGATTTCTCAGCAGATTTCACAACAGCCAATCATTCTATCCTTAAAACAATCTTTTCCCTTGTCTTCTGGAACAAAGCTGTTCTCCTAGGCTTTCTCCTCTCCTCCCCTTTGAGTCCTTTTGCGGGCTCATTTGACTCTACCTGATCTCTAAGTATTGGAGCTGCGAAGGCTTGCTTCTGGACTTCTTTCTCCTTTCCTCTTCCCTGTCTCACAGCTGCAATTGTCTTCAATATGTCAATGGCTCTCAAACATATTCACTTGAATGAGTCTCTTCAGAGTCTCAGACCTGTATATCTGGTGCACTTGATATTTCCTCCTGGAGGTCTCACAAGTACCCTAAATACAACATGGCCAGAACCTAACTTATGATTTCATCTGTAACCTCTTTTAGTGCTCCCTACCACAGTACGTGATATCATATTGTTCACAGATAACTATATCACATCAATCTCCTGGTCAGAACCCTTGCATGCATCTTGTTCTTTTCTCACTTAACATCTTTGTGTGTATTTATCTCTACCTGGAGTGCTTCCAGCCTCTGCATTTCACTTAATAAGTTTCCACTCATCAGATTTCATCTCTACTTCCATGGTCTCAGAGAAACCTCCATGTTGCCTACACTACAAATTTATGACTTACTCTCATAAATTCCTTTTTTTAAATATTTTTTTACCTTTGTAGAATTTACCAGGTTTATCATTTTCTAATTATAGAGTTATTTGCTTATCGTTTGTCTACAAGCTGTCAGTGCAGAGACCACTTCTATTCTGCTGATTTTGGCATACCTAGTGCTAATAGTCGTGCCTGGCACATATTTGGCACCCAATATTTACTTATTTGATCAGTGGAGAGGCTATTTTCTATTTTGGTTTCTGATTCATGCAAAAGAAAAAAGTTAATTTTATTATACCACAAATCTTTATATACATAGCAATTTGTCAAACATGAGCTTGTTAGGGAATGCACTAAAATAGCTTAACCCAATGAAGCGAAAAGACATTAAACCTAGATAGTATCCAACCTAGACTTTCCTCTGAGATATAAGTACATTTTTCCAGAGTCTGTGGGGAACTGACTGGTGCTTTTATTATTGCTACTTTTCTGTGATCTATAAAATCAACGTATGATGGGAAAGGGCAGTGGGTGTAGCGTGAGTGATGAAGAACTTGGGTGGAGTGGGCAGTGTTCAGCTCCCAGCTCCACCACCCATCACTGTAAGGTAGTAGTAGTAATGGTCCCCAGGTGCTGGCTGTGAGGGACACTTGTGCAGAGCTTCCAGCGGTGGGCTTCGAATAGGAAATGTGCTGGTGCACCCAGCCAGTGGGGAGCTGTCGTTGACACTAGGGGAAAAGAACAGGTGGTTATGTAAAAAGTACTTTACAATTTTCCCTTCATCCAATCTCAAATGAAACAGTGTCCACACTCTAGTCTGTGGATCATATTGCTGGAAAAGTCAAGGACTAGGAGGCAAAATCTGCAGGTGTTTCCTTTCAGATTTTTGCCTTCAGGAAGGAATGAAAGGTAAATGAAAATTATGGTTATTCCACTGGCACCAGAGTAATATGTATGCATTTTTAGATTGCTGCATTTTAGTTTAAGCTATACAGGATGAGAGTAGAAATGAAAATATTATATAAGAGAACTATCTTTTCTGCATTTCCTGCTTATTTTAATAGCTATCTCCAATGTGGGTTTAATATTCAGAATTTTAATTCTTGTAATAAAACCTCAGTGAAGAGAGAAAGGACTCCAGTATTTCAAATACCTCTGGTGTAGCTGGTCTTGAAGTTTTGTCTGTTTTCTTTTTCAAGGTAAGGGATCTGTTTTTGTTCTGTTTATTTTATTTTAGTCATGCCATGAGGAAATGAGGTATATAAGTTAATTATTTTAATCCCAATAAAATGATAACAAATTGTAACTACATGATACCCTCCCCAACTGGCCGATTTATTTAAACACTATATAAGCTAGTTTTTTTCCCCCTTTGGCAAGTTGTAAACAAAAGGCCTAAATTGTTCCTCATGGAAATGGATTACTCTAAAATCATGCTATCCTAGAGAAAATCTGAAATTGAATAAGATACAAAATCTCATTCGGTTCTGTCTCATAAGTCTTGTCTACATTTATATAATTTCCAAAGAGTTAAAACAGTTGTTGAAAGCCATAAGAAATGATGCAAAGTTACTACAGCATTACCATATTTATCCCTCAGGGACAATTTCTTTTATGAATCTCATATTTGGTGTAACATCTCTTAAGATTTTGGGAGAACCTCCTATCAAATAATTGTTATCTCTAGGAGACCTAGGTTTTCAAATTGGCGTCATGTATGTATCACAAAGGACCCAATCATTTAATTTTCCAGGTGTAAAATTATTAAACAAAACAAGCAACCACAGAAACAAACAAAAGTCACTTTCCCCATATATTTCTGTACTGGGTTGAATCATGTCAAAATTCATATCCACCAGAATCTCAGAATGTGACTTCATTTGGAAAAAAGGTCTTTGCGGATGTAGGTTAGGTTAAAATGAGGTCATATTGGATTAGGGCAGGTCCTAAACCCAATGACGGGTGTGTTGATAAGAGAAGAAAGAGGAATAGGCAGACACAGAGACACAGACATGAGGGAAGAAGAAGGTCCTGTGAAGGAGGAGGCAGAGACTGTGTGGTTCAGCTACAAACCAAGGAACACCAGGACTGCCAGGAGGCCTCAGATGCTAGGAGAAGGCAAGGAAGGAATCTTCCCTAGAACCTTCAGTGGGATGCTGGCTTGCCAACATCTTGATTTCAGACATCTAGTCCCCGGGAACTGGGATGCGATAAATGTTGTTTTAAGCCATCTTCTTTGTGGTAATTTGCTATGGCAGTTCTAGGAAACTAATACAATTTCTCAAGCTCTTTCCATATCTTCTCCATTTCACAGTTGAATTTTGTTAAAGAAATTGTGGAATTGCCTCCATTTGATGTTTCTTCTTTATCACATGACATTCACTCCTCAGCCACTGCGATCTGGGTTCTACCCTCATCATGCCACATTAATTCTTTGGCCAAGTTTACCAATAACCCCTCATAGCCGACTCCAGTGGTACCCCTTGGCCTTTGTATTATTTCATTCTCCATGACATTGGGCAGCCTTTACCACTTCCTCCCTGACCTCTGTGACTCTGCAGCCATAAAATTTTATTTCTGCCCTCATGTGCACTCCATCTTAGCGACTGTTCAAGCTCCTCTTCTTGTATTGCACCTTCAGTATTGGGATTTGTCAGGATTCTTCCATGAACCTCTTCTCCCTCTGAGTACTCTGTCTGGATGGTTTCATTCACACACATTTATTTGCTAATGTTTTCTAAATCTGTCCTAAGACCAGCTCTTCCTCTGGAGCTTCAGAGTTCTCATCAACTCCACAAGTTAAGTTTGGGGGCTGGTGGGGGGACTTCACAAGTTAAATGCCTCACGGTCCCTCAAAATCAACGTGTTCAAAACTGGAATCAACATTTTCTCTCTCAGGCCTGCTCCTCTTTTCTTGTCTGTGTCCCAGACTGCAGCACCAGCTTCTTCCTACTTAGTAAGATCAGAAACTTGGGTGACACCTTTGCTTCTCTCTTCCGTTCATAACCTGAAATCTGTCTCTGTTTTCATCCTTGCATATAAATCTATACTTCCATCTGCCACTCTCTCTCCCCTCACTTTCTGCAAGAGTGTACTGTCTAGTAGCCTCCTTCCTCATGTTCTTTCTTCACACACCCAGGAGTGTTCTTTGAGAAATGTACATTTGCTTGTGTGACCCTTGGGCTTAAAATCTGCAATATCTTCCCAAACTGTGTAGGATAAAGTCCAGAGTGTTTGAAAAGGCTTAGTATGACATGCCCCTTTTTGTCAAGCCAGATGGAAAGCCTTTCCCTTGTCTTTCAGGCAGGCCATGTAGTCTCTGAACTTGGATGAGATGTCACTACTACAAAGCCTCAATAACCCCAACCCTCCTTCATCCCCTTCCATGGCACTCATCCCACTGTCTTCAGCTCTCTGCTTTCCCATTGGTCCCCTGAAGGGTGAGAAGCTTGTCCTTCTTACTTAACCATGAATCTCTGGTGCTGGGTACAGTGCCTGCAGTAGAGAGGCTCAATGAATTACTGAATCCCCATAAATGAGAAAACCAAGGCTCATAATATTTAAGCCATTTGGCTAAGCAAATGCAGCCCAGGGTCAGATTTTTCTAGTGCTTTTTTCATTCTTATATATTTCCTTTTTTTGAAAAAAAAAAACTTGCCTTATGTAAAATTAAAGCATAATTGTTGGAAAACGTCACTTCTACATGAACACACCCACAATTTAGACCAAATGATGAAACCAAGAGAGGCTTAGTTATAAATGATACAATTCATTACCAATTTGAAATGAGCTCTTTCTTCTAACCACTGCCTTATTTCCTTGGCTTTTCCATGGGTGAACACAACCACTTTTTATAGCTTTTAACTTTCTCCCACAGCTTATACTCAGCTGCTGGTTAGCCCGCAGGTGTCAAATGCCGCATTCTTCTCTTTACTCACTCTGAGCACGAGTGGTGCCCTCAAGATGCCTCCTGCTCATTTTTAGCTTAATCCACCCATTTGTAAGCTCTCTCTCCTCTGAACTCTCACTCACCTTGCCAGCCTCTGAGCTGCCTTTGAAGAGGAATGCATGTCATGGTTCTGAATCTGCCCCAGCTGTTCCTAATTCTTTCCTTCCCAGCCCACCCCTGTCTCAGAGCTGTGCTTGCCTCTCAAAAGAGAGGCTATGTTGGGGAGAAGGGGGGTGCCTGAGCCCCACTCTCTAAAGAAGACTTTCTTTCCCTTCCAGGCCTCAGAAAACTGCTGACCTAGTAGCTGATGCAAATTAGTTGTCCTTGTTTAGTGTTTTTTTTTGTCATTGTTTCATCAAAAATAAAAATTATTCATATTCACTAAAGAAAAATTTGACAATAAAGAAAATTAGGAAAAACTCCATAGCACATGGAGTTTCATTAACCAATCACCACTGCCATTAAGATTTTGATATATTTCCTTTTAGTCCTTTTACTCATGTGAAACTTTAATTTGAACACTTATCCTATTACACATATAATTTACATCTTTTATTTTCACTTAACAATATTATAGTCTATTTTGCATAGTACATCATTGAGTGGGCGGGTATACCAGAAAATAATTAATCTTCTTGGGTTACACTTTTAAGTTGTTTCCCTTGTAACTATGAAAAATAAAAGAATGAATCTGATTCACATATAGGAAAACCAACCAACCAACCAACCAACAAGCCTGAGAAAAACTGTGCCTAGTACCTTGTCTCTATTTAGAATGGTTCCCTTAAGATTTATATCCAGAAGTGAAATTACCAAGTACAAGGGGATAACTGCTTCCTCAAATTGCTTTCCAAACATATACAAATTTATACTGCAACTGGCTATGAATGAGAGTCTCTGTTTCATCCATCCTTGACAGGCTGTGTTTATACATTTCCCTTTCTCCCTAATTTCACAGGTCAGTTATCAAATCATTTTCTTTGATTCCTAGAGAAGCTGAATATTTTCATAAATGGTAGTATATTAATTGTATTTTCTTCTGTGAATTTCTTTTAATGTCCTTTGATCATTCATGTATTTGATACTTTTTACTTCTTTTATCTGTTTTATAGCTCTTTATTTAATAAAGAATTTAACTCTCATATTTGCTGCAAATATGTTCTGCTTTGGGCATTTGTTTTCAATGTTTTACCCATAGATTTTAATTTTTTTATGTAATTAAAACTATTTTTTATTTGTAATTATGTTTTAGCTTAAAATTATTTACTTCTCATTACCTGCCTGCCCTTCCCTCACCACTCCCCTTCAACATTTAATAAGGTGCACTTCCATGTTATCTTCTAAGATTTTATGCTTAATATTTTTCACATATAACTCTTTAACACATATGAGGCTTATGCTGGTATGTGAAGTAAGGTGAGAATCTGTATTTTTTTCCCAAATTTTGTAATCAAATGAACCCAAATCATTCCTAGAACATTCTTTTTCTTATCCATTGATTTGTAATCTTTCATTAATCATATTTTCATTTCTCAAATATGTTGGGATTTATTGTTGGGCAATCTATTATGTTCCATTATCTATAGCCATTTTTGTACCAATAGTATTTAATGCATTGAACTTTATAATATATTTAAGACTTCTGATAAAATTTGTACTTATTTTTACAGAGTTTTCATAAAGCTCCCTTTAATTTTGAACTAGATTAAGTCTGTGTATTTATTGGGGGTGAGAGAGTTGCCATACTTAAAAATTTTGTCTTTCCTTCCAGAGCACAAAAAGTCTCCTGAGTTATATGTCTGTTAATATTATCCCTGAATTTTTACTATTTTTTTTTGTGGATACTATTAATCTAGTTTCTTTTTCCATTATATGTTAAAACTTTATTTCAGTTCTATAAAAATACTATAAAATTTATGTATTTATTTTGAGTTGGCCCCTGGTTAAAAAAAAAAATCAGTTTTTTCTATTCTCTCATTCAACAACAATCAACACAGAAGACTCTCTGACCAAATGTGTGGCAGTTTCTCCCCACCACCAAGCAAAAAATCAGTTCTGCAGTGAACACCAGCTGGGTGTTCTCTCATTCAATTCCGACACTAACCACCTGGAGATAGCATCAGATTCCAATGGTGAAGGGCTCAATCCCACAACATTGCCCTCCACTTCTAAAACCAGTCCCAGGCCCCAGGTTGTTTTACCTGTGCTTCTGACTGACCTGCTATAAATTGGGGTTCCCACAACCTTCTCCTTGGGTTTGATGAATTTACTAGAGTGAGGCTCACAGAACTCAGGGAAACATTTATGGTTACTGGTTGATTACAATAGGTATTACAAAGGATACAGATGAATCCTTACAAAGGATACAGATGAAAGGATGAATAGGGCGAGGTATGGAAGTATCCTGAGTGCAAGAGCTTCTGTCCCCATGGAGTTGGGGTGCACCACCCTCCAGGAACCTCCACACGTCCTACTGTCAAGAGCTCCCTGAACCCATTCTTTTTGGGTTTCTATGGAAGCTTTATTATAGAGACATGATTGATTAAATCATTGGCCATTGGTGATCAATCCAACCTTCAGGTCCTCTTCCATCCTTGAAGGTTGGGGGTATGACTGAAAGTCCAGCCCCCATCCTGAAGCTACTTAGGATCTGCCAACCTCCAGGCAACTCATTAGCATACAAAAAGACACATCACTTTAAGGATTCCAAATATTTCAGGAGTTGGATGCCAGAAGACTGGACAAAGACCAAATGTATATTTCATAATATCACAGCTCCACTTCACAAAATGAATTTTAAAAGTTGTTTCTAATGATTCCTTTTTCTGATATATGATCTTACCATGTAATAATAATTTTGTCTCTCTATACCAATATTTTTTAATTTTTTTGCATCTAATAGCATTTTTCAAACCTTTCATATTAAAAACAATAGTAGTCAGCATTACTTTGTGATTGTAATAAAATGACTCTAGTCTGTTTTCATGTTGCTGATAAAGACATACCTGAGACCAGGCAGTTTACAAAGGAAAGAGGTTTAATGGAGAACTCACAGTTCCACATGGCTAGGGAAGCCTCACAATCATGGTGGAAGGTAAGGAGGTGCAAGTCACACCTTACATGGATGGTGGCAGTCAAAGAAAGAGGTTGTGCAGGCAAACTCCCATTTTTAAAATCATCAGATATTGTGAGACTTATTCACTATAAGAACAGCACAGGAAAGACCCGCCCCCTTAATTTAATCATCTCCATCTGGGTCCCTACCACAACACGTGGGAATTATGGGAGCTACAAGATGAGATTTGGGCGTGGACAGAGCCAAACCATATTAATGGCTCTGAATGTTTGCTGCTAATATTTTATTGATCACTGGTTTGAAAATAAAATTGCTTGCTATTTGAGACAATATTAATCTATTTTAATTTTTTAAAAGAGTTTTTGAATTATAGATTTGGAGATATTTATTAAAATCTTTTTTCTAAATGCCAAATCTTTTTCATAAATCTTTTAAAATGACCTTATTTAAGAAATTCAACCTAGTCATATAAAGTAACATATCCTATACCCTGATTTTCAACCTCTTGAATGTCTAAAATAAATATTTCTTAGTCATGACAGATTACACTTTTAACATTACACTGAAAATTTTGTTAAGGATGTTTATTTCTCTATTAACAACTGCTATTGACTTGTACTATTATTTGGTGTTTATTTTTGTTAGATTTAATTTCACAAAAACATTGGCTTGGTAAAATTAGGTGGGAATGATTTCATTCATCTATGTTTCCACAAAATATTTATGTAGCATAGAATTTATATATTCTCTGGTAATTTTAGATAATTTTATCCTTAAAACCACCCAGCCATGGAGTCATGATGGTTTCTTGTTCTTTGTGAATTTTATTTCTTCAAAAATCACAGAGTGTTTTAAATTTTATTAAATAATATTTGTAGAGATTATTTATTTGTTTAATATTTTAGATGCTGTGTGCTTTAGCTTATTTATATTGACTTAAGTTTTATTTATTTGCTTTTTATTTATATTGCTTTTTCCTTATTTTCCTCATAGGCCCACTAATAATTTATTTGAAAAATATTTAGTTATTCCATGTTTACTTATTTCAATATAGTCATTTCTATTTTATACAGTAATTTATTTCTATCTGTTTTCCTTAGGATTCTTGATTCTAACAGCTTGAGTTAATGCTTATTTTATTTCTTTTTTATCTCTTTTGAGATAAAAGACTGCATTTGTATTTTAGTTGTTGTCTAAGTAGAATACTATTTTATTTTTACTCCTTCCTTGAATCAATGATTGTCTTTTCTGTAGTTGTGATTAACATTTTTGTTATTATTGGTTTGAATTTTTATTTATAATTTCCACTATTTCTTGTATTGTGGTTAGAAATTACACTAGCTAGACTAATAACAAAAGAGAAAAGATCAAAATAAACACAATCAGAAATGACAAAGGGGAAATTACCACAAACCCCACAGAAATACAGAATAACCCTCAAAGACTATTATGAGCACCTCTATGGACACGCAAACTAGAAAACCTAGAAGAAATGGATACGTTGGATAAACTCCTTGAAATATACAACCTCCCTAGATTGAACCAGGAAGAAATTGAAACCCTGAACAGACAAATAATAAGTTCCAAAATTGAATCAGTAATAAAAAACCTATCAACCAGAAAAAGTACTGGACCAGATAGATTTACAGCCAAATTCTACCAGATGTATAAAGAAGAGCTGGTGCCAATCCTACTGAAATTGTTCCAAAAAATTGAGGAAGCAGGACTCCTCCCTAACACATTATATGAAGCCAGCATAATTCTGATACTAAAACCTGTCAGAGATACAACAAAGAAAGAAAACTGTAGGCTGAAATCCTTGATGAACATAGATGCAAAAATCTGCAACAAAATACCAGTAAACTGAATCCAGCAGTACATCAAAAAGCTAATCCACCACGATCAAGTAAGCTTTGTTCCTGGGATACAAGGTTGGTTCCACATATACAAATTAATAAATATGATGCATCACATAAACAGAAAAACAAACACCACATGATAATCTCAATAGAAGCAGAGGAAGTTTTCAATAAAATTAAACATCCCTTCATGTTAAAAACCCATACCAAACTATACATCAAATGAATATACTTCAAAATAGTAAGAGCCATCTATGACATACCCACAGCCAACATCATACTGAACAGGCAAGAGCTGGAAGCATTCCTTTTGAAAACTGGGACAAGACAAAGTTGCCCAATCTTACCACTGCTATTCAACATAGTTTTGCAAGTCCTAGCCAGAGAAATCGGGCAAGAGAAAAATAAAAGTCATCCAAATACGAAGAGAGGAAGTCAAACTATTTCTTCAAAGATGATCATTCTATACCTAGAAAGCCCCATAGTCTTTGCCCAAAGGCTCTTAGATCTGGTAAACAACTTCAGCTAAGTTTCAGAATACGAAATAAGTGTACAAAAATCAGTAGCATTTACACCGATAACATCCAAGCTGAGAGCCAAATCAAGAACACAATCCCATTCACAATAGCCACAAAAAGGATAAAATATAAGGAATACAGCTAACCAGGGAGGTGAAAGATCTCTACAATGAGATTACTAAACACTGCTGAAAGAAATTAGAGATGACACAGACAAATGGAAAAACATTCCACGCTCATGGATAGAGAGAATCAATATCATTAAAATGGCCATATTACCAAAGCAATTTACAGATTGAATGCTTATTCCAATTCAATTACCAACATCATTATTCACAGAATTATAAAAAAAACTATTCTAAAATTCATATGGAACCAAAAAGGAGCCCAAATAGCTATGCAATCCTGAGCAAAAAGAACAAAGCTAGAGACATCACTCTACTGGACTTCAACCTATACTATAATGCTACAGTAACCAAAACAGCAAAATACTGGTACAAAAACAGACATATAGACCAATGGAACAGAATAGAAAACTCAGAAATAAAGCTGCACACCTACAACAATCTAATCTTAGACAAGGCCAACAAAAACAAGCAATGAGGAAAGGACCCCTTATTCAATAAATTGTGCCGGGATAACTGGCTGGCCATATGCAGAAGATGGAAACTGGACCCCTTCCTTTCACCATATTAAAAAGAACAACTCAAGATGAATTTAAGACTTAAATGTAAAACTTAAAACTGTAAAAACCCTGGAGGAAAACCTAGGAAATACTATTTTGAACATAGATCCTGGCAAAGACTTCATGATGAGGACTCTAAAAGCAATTGCAACAAAAGTAAATATTGAGAAGTGGGATCTAATTAAAATAAAGAACTTCTGCACAGCAAAAGAAACTATCAACAGAGTAAACAGACAACCTACAGAATGGAAGAATATATTTGCAGCTATGCAACCAACAAAGGTTTAATATCCAGAATTTATAAGAAACTTAACAGGCAAAGAAACAAACCCATTAAAAAATGGGCAAAGAACATGAACAAACACTTCTCAAAAGAAGATATATGCAACCCACAAGTAAGTAAAAAAATTCTCAACGTCGTCACTAATCATTAGAGAAATACAAACCAACACCACAGTGAGATACCATCTCACATCCATCAGAATGGATATTATTAAAAAGTCAAAAAATAATAGATGCTGGTGAGGTTGCAGAGAAAAGGGAACACCTTTTTGTTTGTTTTTGTTTTTTTTGAGACAGGGTCTTTCTCAAAGAACTTAGAACTACCATTCAACCCATCAATCCCCTTATTGGATACATATCCAAAGGAATATAAATCATTCTACCATAAAGACACATGCACATCTATGTTCATCACAGCACTATTCACAATAGCAAAGGCATGGAATTAACCTAGATGTCCAACAATGGTGGACTGGATAAAGAAAATGTGGTACATATACAACATGGAATACCACGCAGCCATAATAAACAATGAAATCTTGTCCTTTGCAGCAACATGGATACAGCTGGAGGCCATTATTCTAAGTGAATTAATATAGGAATGGAAAACTAAATGTAAGTTCTCACTTATAAGTGGGAGCTAAACACTGAGCACAGATGGACCCTAAGAAGGGAACAGTAGACACTGGGGCCTACTTGAGAGTAGAGGGCAGGAGGAGGGTGAAGATCAAAAAATTACCTATTGGGTACTATGTGCATTACTTGGGTGACAAAATAACCTGTACACCTAACCCATGCGACATGCAATTTACTCATGTAACAACTTGCACCTGTACCACATGAACCTAACATAAAAGTTGGAAGGAAGGAAAAAAAAGAAAATATAGAGTACAAATTTCTCCCTTTTTGGAATTATTTTTTGATTGCTCAAAATATAAGCTTGATTGTAAATGTTAAAGCAATACTGAGGAAGATAGTATACTTTCTTTTTTCAATTTATAATGTTTGATACATATTTTATATTAATGTTGGAGTACATAAGTTTTAAAGATTTTCTGTATCTTTATTAAGTCATTTATGTCACCTCTTGTTCTATCATAAGCTGACTGAGATTGAGTCAAATGTTAAGCAATTCCATTTCATTAATTTTGTATTGCCTTTGAAACTCTTTTTTGTGCATTTTGCCACTATAAAATGATCTTATTTATTCCATTTAATATTTTCCCCTGTAAATTCTATCTTGCCCAGTATTTCTCTAGCCATTCTTGCTTTTTTATATTAATATATAGTTTATACATCTTCTTATATTTATTTGCTAATCCTTTAACTTTTTATCTTTCAATTTTTATGTTTCTTCAATTTTTTATTTAGCCTTTAATATATGGAATTTGTTTTATTGAATTTTACCTTTGATAATTTGCAAAGCAGACATTAGTTTTAAACGATTTCAGTATATTTTTGATTCTTAAAACTATGGCAATTGAATTTTGAGAATAAAAAAACTTTAGAATTCAATTCAGATAAAGTTTAAGGTTAAACTTCATCATTATCATCATTCTCATCATTCTCAAATTCCAGAGCATCAGTCCCTTCTGAGGCTCCTCCTATCCCTCTGCCCATTACATTTTAGTTTCCTTTGTCAGTTCCTTTCTCTCTATAGAACCTTGAAGGGGTGTAGCTCCTAAGGGCATGGTCCTGGGCCCTTTCTCTGTAGGAAGTGACATATGAACTGAAACTGGAAGGGTAGGCAAGAGTCAGTCTAATAAAATGTTTGGCAATAATTTCATCCACTCCTGTGACATCAAATACCATCCATAGATGGTCATTTCTAAATTATCTCAAGAAGTCCAAGAGGATTTCCATACATCTCCTTTCCCCTTGCTCTACAAACACAGTTCATTGACAAACTCTATAGAGTCTTCTGCCATAATATAGCAGAATCACTTTTGGCCCTCTGTATGCACGGATTGATTCTTCTGGAACATTCTGTCACTCACCTCTTGCCAGGCTGACGTCTACAGTTGTATCGTCGTCAGCGTGAGCATCACTTCCTCCAGGCACGCTCTGCTCTAGCACTCTATACTTCGTTCCATTACCAAATCAAATGAACTGGTTTTCTTATGTTCCTTCCTGGGTTAGAATGCAAGCTTCTAGAAAAGAGGAACGATGTCCTATTTATCTTTACAAGTTCGGTGCCCAGCACACCAGTCACCCAGCTGGTACTCTATGAAAATAACTTGTTGAATGATTGAATAAATGGATACAAGTAATTGAACAACTAAGATAATGCAAAGAGTAAAGCATTTCCCAGACATAAAGAATAAAGCAGTATGATGTATTTAGTGAACTCCAAATGGTTAAAAATTGCTAAAACGTGGAGTGTGCTGCTGTGTTAGGATGGGGAGAACAGTGGGAAATGAAGCTGGTGAGGTGAGGATGAAGTGGATGGGCTGTACTCCATGCTAAAGTGTGTCGTAAATGTGTTCACTTACTAATAGATTTTGAACAGAATGCTGCTTCTGTCTTAGATGGGGTGTCCTCTTATTTTTCAGTGAGAAATAGAACAGGCAATCTACTTTCAGTTTCTTTATTCCTATGTAAATCTATTTGCTCCCCTGAATTTGTGCTGCAGAATTTATTCATCTGTGTCATGTCAACGATTTTCTCTTTCTTTGTCACTAAGTAATTGGAAGGGTTAGGCTGTGCAGATGTCTCATGTTCTCTTACTGTCCATGAGATCACTGGAGAGATTGAAAAGCTTGTGACATATTTATCAGCCATTTTAAATTTTTTGTGTTGCTTTTTCTAAATCTGTTCAGTTTTTTAATCTCTATGCTTATTATTCATTATTGCTTATCCAGAGCTCTTTATATATTAAGAGGGAAAAATTAACTTTTCAAAATATTGTCATTAAATGTGATTAAATTATTTCTACTGTTTAGAATCCCTGCTCAATTTGCAATTTTGCATGTAAATGTCTACTATCACCAAGAAAACTGTTCTAGGAACAGACAGCTTATTTGGGACAATGGCATTACATTTTGTTCTGGTAATACCAGGACTGTATTTTTCTTTTACGTTTTTTCTAAAAATGCCTGGGTATATGCAAATGTAATCAGAAGGGCTGAATACTAAAACCATCAGCATAGTTCTCTTATTACTTGATTCTGCACACCATTATACTTTTTTTAAAGAAAAATATTGAGCTCTAAAATCAAATTTTAAGCTGTGGAATTCTTCCCAATAGCTTTGTTATTTAGAATAGCAATGCTTAGAAAATAACATGCAATGAATAATCATAAAAATTGTATTCTAGTTTTTATACTGTTTCTACTTTTCTTTTAAAATTGTCCCTTGCTGATGGCATACATCACTTATTAGAATGATAACCAAGAAAATAATCCTGTAAAATGAACTAGCGAAATCAAGATAATGTAGATTACAACAGCATTCTCTCTCATTCTTTTTTTAGGAATGTGTAATGAGCAGAAATAATGTGGACTGTGACTTGGGCTCCTTTTATCTTTACATTTTTTTCAAAGAGGCAATCTTACCAACTGATTTACAGAACTCATTTTTCCCAAAGTGTTTAATTTTTTTGTACAGCTATTAAATGTATGCCTATAAATTAAATATTTAAATAATGGTAGTAGTAAAAAAAGTGCTGGGATTACAGGCCTAAGCCACTGCACCTAGCCAAGGAACATTTGATTTTTAAATGGCTATACATATATATTTGACAATGACTATATATATATACCCACACCCACACATACACATATATGTACATATATATACATATATGTGTATATATATAATTTTAGTGACTTTGAACTTGTGAAATCTCAATGTGAATAGGATAGAATAAGTCATGGAAAGCTGAAAGGTCAAGTTAAAAGAATCCAAAGGACAAAGATACATGAACTCTAGGCTTCAGGTGCAAATTTGCATTAATTTTCCCTTAAAAGGGAGCATATGTACACTCTGCTGTCAATTTCCTATCTGTGGGCTTGGTTGCTATCTCACAGGTTGACTCCAGGTCAAATGTGTGAACGTCTAGAAAAATATTAAAGCCAGTCAAAAGTTAACTTTATACTACCATTATTTAAATATTTAGTTTATAGGCATGCATTTGAAATCTGTACAAAAAATTAAACACTTTGGGAAAAAATGAGTTCTATAAATCTAAGGCACAGCTGTTCCCCAATCATCCCATTTCTCAGGAAGGAATGAGATGTGGGATTTTTGTGCTATGGATTAGGCCCAAAGTTTCTTTCTGGCTCTTTCTGGAAAGTCTCAGGTGGGGTATCACTTGAGCTTCTTTAGCAGGTCAGTTTTTCCTGTGTATCCTGCCTTCTTCCCAACCTTACAAAGTCCTGTGAGTGCAAGAAGAATATAACAAGCAATACATAGTTGCATAATTATATTTTATTTTAAAAATTTGTGCCCTTCTCAAAGGGAATGGAGAAATGACCAGGGACACATATGTTCTCTGTTAGGCTAAGAAAACACTCCTAGAACATGCTGACTGCCTGGCAAATTGCTCACTGGTGAAGCTAAATTCTCTGATATGTATAAAAATCTCCCTGGTTACTTAGTTGAAGATGGGGAGTTTGGCAGGACTTTGTCATAATTACAAATTAACTTTTGCGATTTGATAAGTGAGAAGATAAAAGAAGATAATTTCTCCCAGTCTTTACCATAGTGAAAGTCAAAATCTTAGGCCCAAGTTTTATCTTCTATAAATGTTAATGCAGACATAAGGAAAACAAACAAATAAACATAGAAATCACAACTTGAGATGCACTTTGCTTAAAATAAGAAACCCAAATGGCATAGGATGGGCAGTATTAGGTTTAGATACAGATGGTCAGATGGCAATAACTTCAATGTTTGTAAAAAGAAAGAATGTAATGATCATTAATTAATTCATATTCTACATTTTCAATGATAAAAGTGATTTTCTCTGTGTTTCACTCTGTTCTAAAATATTGTAATTATTTTCCTGGAAGCATATACAAAGCAAAATCTGTTTGAAAGAGAAATTTTCCAAGTAATATTTGATTTTTTTTTTTTTTGAGACACAGTCTCACTCTATCACCCAGGCTGGAGTGCAGTGGCACAATCTCGGCTCACTGCAACCTCAGCCTCCTGTGTTCAAATGATTCTCGTGCCTCAGCCTGCTGAGTAGCTGGGACTACAGGCGTGCACCACCACACTTGGCTAATTTTTGTCCTTTTAGTAGACACAGGGTTTCGCCATATTGGCCAGGCTGGTCTTGAACTTCTGGGCTCAAGCGATCCACCTGCCTCAGTCTCCCAAAGTGTTGGGATTACAGGCGTGAGCCACTGCACCCGGCCAAGAAACATTTGATTTTGAAATAACAATTAAACCTATCAAATTAAATGATCATTAAGAAATGTTTGTTGTTTGTTTTATAATTTAAGGATGAATGTATCAATTCGAGAAATAGATCCACTGTAATGTGAGGCATGGCACTAAGCACCTTAGGGGATACAACAGTGAACACAAGGAATTTCTTACATTGTATTGCATTTGGGCGTTACTGTGCACTGTAATATTTGTTATTCATTTTGATCTTTTTAACCCCCCTGAGAGGTACACCTCTCAGGCATCATTAACATCATTCTTGGACACAGAGGAGGAAACGAGACCATAGAGGATAATTGCCCTGCCCAAAGTCAAACAGCTAGTGTTGCTGGGGCTCCGGGGTCCAGGCTAGCTTATGTTCACTACCTAATGTCCACTACCCCTTCCATCTCTGGCCCTCAAGTGGTTTCACATCCAAACATGAAGATAGGTATGTTCGTAAAACCTATGCCACAGGGCACAGTGTCTTATGTGAATTTAGAATGTTGCTAAGAGTTTCTATGAGGACCCTGAGGAAAGAAAGATCACTTCAGGCCGAAATGGAGATCTTTAAGATGGGCCTTAAAGATGGTTTAAATGGCAAAGATTTAGCATTTTAGCCAGTGGAAATGGTGTGAAACAAGAGCATCAGTTTGTGAAAATTGTGGGGATAATTGATAAAAATGTTTGTACTGGATTTGTGAGAGAATAGGATGGCACTGAGTAATTCTTCTTACAAGCCTCAAATTTTAATTATTAGATTCAGCAGACATAAAAGTACTCAGTTAAAATGCTAGACAAGTTTCTAAATGCTCTTAATTTTTTACTGCATATATGTAAGGTGAGAAACATAGTGTTTTGATATGCATAGTGAAATAGCCACTGACTATTTTTGAGATAGCTTCTTGTTCATGCAATGAGACTCAGCCTGCCGGGGTTCAAACCCCAGTTTTGCCATTTATAAATTGTTTACTCCTGGGCTTTACCTAACCCTCAGTTTCTCATCAATAAAATGAGTATAACAAGAGTTACTACTTCAAAGAGTTGTGAGGATTTAAAAGAGTAGAGTGCACATGCCTGGAACATAGCACCTAAAACTAATTCTTATTAGTAATAGAAATGACATGATCGGAGGTGTGCTTTAGGAAGGTTGTGATGGTATAGACTGAAAACTGGAGGCTGGTGGGGATGCCTAAAAGAGGAGAGTCAAGTTGGAGTTCAAAGAGGTTTGGAGCCTTAGCAAGTAAGGGTCCAACTGAGGGGCTAACTTGGGGTACCAGCAGTTGGAATGTCAGGTGTCAGATATTTTAAAAACCTTTAACAGGTGAGAAGAAAAGTGTGAAAGGTGCGTTTTTTAATTGTCCAAAAATTAAAGCTTGTCTCTTTTTTTTAGTGGGCTAGCTTTAAAAAGTTTGATGACCAAATTTGTAATGGTTCGTTCCAGTCCAAAAATCCTATAAATACGCCAGATAATTCTAGCCTTTGCACCTGTTCAAACAGCAACAAAGATAAAATGAACCAGAGGAAAGACCAACCCCTTCCTTTCCTTAATGAGGCCTCATTGATTTTTGCAAACAAATGAAAGGCAATAAATTGCCCCAAATGCCTCTTTTTTCAAAGCCAGCAGGCTACGTTACTGACCTGGGTGTTCCCAGAAGACTCAAGGCGTAAGGCCCCACAGCTGGACCATAAAATGTTTTTGCAGCTCTTAAGATATTCCTTAAGTCCCTTTGTTCCCCGCCCCTCCAAAGAGCTTCGGGAGTTTCGGAATATATCCCATTGGTCCCAAGACTAACTTTTTTTATTTGTTTGCTTCACAGGTCAGTGACCAAAACCTCTAAAAATTCACAAAGAAGCTCATGAGGAGGTCCGAGGCTGCCCAAAAGGCATTTGGTCTCTGGCCCAGGAGCTCAGGACAGACCTAAGGTTTGAGTGAAATCTGGGCTGGAGTAAACCTTAGCAACCTGTCATTACCTACAGGGCAATAAGCTGGCTCCCTTCCAGTGGCTTCTGTTTTGTATGTTCATCTCTGCCCAGAGCTCTGTCATCTAGTGTTGCACTGTTCAGTATGGGAACCATGAGCCAAAACTGACTGCTGAGTATTTGAAATGGGACTAACACTGAGATGTGCTGTCGATGTGAAATACACACCAGATTTCAAAGACTTAGTATGGAAAAAAAAAGAAAAAAAAAACCTCATTAATATTTGTTATGTTGATTGCATTTTGAAATGATAATATTTTGGATATAGTAGGTTAAAATATTATTAAAATTAATTTTACTGTTTTCTTTTTACTTTTTTGCTTGTGGCCACTAAACATCTTCAAGTTACATGTAGCTCACATTGTATTTCTATTGGAAAGGCCATTTTAATAGAATTATGCCCTTAGTTTCCCAGATTCTCCCAATAAGTTCAAAGCATTCAGTAACGCAGGAACATTTTGTTGAACACCCTGTGATTAGACATATAACCCTGTTGTTCATAGGATCTGATTGTATCATTTCTATTTACATTTGTCCTACAATTTGCAATTGTCTTGCAAATCTAATGCCGGTGCAAGATGATTTCCATTTTATCCTAATAAAACCTCAATTTAGGTATAGAATGAACAAATAAATGCAGATGGGGAAAAGGAAGGAAAGATGCACTGTGTTGGGAAATTTCTGCTCAAAACACCTCTTCAGAGTGTGTATTATTTTCTCTGTTTTTACAGAGAGGAATAATGGCTCAGAGAGGTTAAGTAACTGTCTAAAAGTAATACAGCTCTTACCTATCAGAGGATTCAAAAGGCCTAACAAACTCCAAAGCAGAAACTCTTTCTCAAAATCTCAATGCTCCTCTGTTACTGACAAATTTGAGAAAATTAAATTGTAGCAATCAATTTTGGAGATCGTTCTTTTCTTTGTTTTTAATGTATACTTTAATAAGTATAAAGAATATAAACAAGTAAACCTGTGGAGAAGCTGACAAAAATACATAAATTAGGATTTACACTGCTCTAATGTAAAAAAATATAAATTTTCTATTTTTTTGCAGAATATTTATTAATGTGGTTTAATGTACAATTTCTTGTTTGTCATTTGGAAGTCACTTATTATAAAGACAATTTTTTTGTCTTATGACAAACAGCAGTCCACATTGGATAAATTTGATTTCTTCTTGAGACATAAATTTCTTCTGAGGTAGTGTTTTTATTATTTCTGCAGTGTCTGGCAGACCCTGATGTGTAAGCAAAGCTGGTGATTTGCTTTTCTTAGAATCTGTGAAATTGAAGAGGAGTGAGATAATAGTCCTGCTGATCTCAAAGCTTCTGATGTATTGGGCTTAGAATGGTCTCTCTGTCAGGGAACCTTATTAATGGAGTATGTAATTTAAGTACCTGAACCATCCTGCTGGCAGTTGCCATTTTGCTAGTCATCATAACGCCTGAGAAGCTCGAGATACTTCTATTAATCACAAATGTCCATATTTAAGATTTATGCTTGTAATGGCATTTATTTGTCAGATTATATTAACATTGATTAAAGTATATAGAATGAACTTTATTCATGAGAGCTTTTATTTATAGAGACCATAATAGACTTTATTCTAGGAGATTGATACATATTCCATGCACCCTCTTCTTTCTCTTCTGGTTGTGTGACCTTAAATAGACATTCCTGCAAAGTGGAGTTAAAGATACTTATCTCATAGGGATACTGGCCTAAGAGAAAGCTGCATGGGAGAAAGTGCTTTGCAAAATGTAAGCATGCCAGAGTTCCTCCCCACACCCTCCTCCCACCCCTAGAATGGGCATAAGATAATGATTTCACTTTGTTCTGCCATACATTTATACTATATTTCCAGGCATTTGGGACCACATTTCCTCTCTGTGAATAAGATACAATATGAAAAAGCCAGAAATTATAAGGACCTTTTGGGTCACATAGTTCATTGCTCTCTGAACACAGATCACTCTTTGGGAACCGCAGACTAGTTTCATTAAGTTTCTCTTTAATAATCCATTTCAGCCTCTTTGATGTTTTTACTTAGCAAGCTTTTACCTAAGCTAACCTAAATTTTTCCCATTAATAACTCTGGATGAGAATGGGAAAGATATTGGAAGACTATTGTCAACTTGTAGCTTTCTTTTCTCTACACTAAGTAGTCCTTTGACCTTTACTCTCTTTTCTTCATATGCACTTCATAAAACCCATTTACATGAATTTTCACTTAGCTGGTTCTTGGTAATTAAGTATGTACAGATTATGGTTGTAGATAAAGTGATGTGTTGCTGCTGTTATTCTAGAAAGATTTCCTCTAAAGACAGTATATGTTTCCTTGTTTAAGCTAGACTACAGGAGAATAATTTAAGGAATTTGGGGATAATAATCAATGGTTTTTTGTTTGTTGCTGTTGACTTGGTTAGTTTCTCATTTTAACATTTAAGACTAAAAGTAGGATAAAGGATGGTGGAGCAGGAGGGCCAACAGAAAACATGCCATTTGTTGCTCAGGACGTGACACAAAGTCAATGCAGTGCACAGGTAGTGGGGAAACTAAGCTGAAGCAATCAAAGTGTTGCATTAGGTCGCTTAGGCTATGAGGGCTTCACTCATGCAAACTGACCCTCACTACTGAAGTTGGAGGCATTACTAGAGTGAAGTGTCAATAACCAGAGAACAAAATGGAGGGAAAAATGGAGGAAAAATAGTGAAATGCCTTTTGCTATTTATCTCTAGAACCCACTGTCAAAACACAGTTCCTGTTCTTTCATTTCCATTTGTTTAGAGATTGTAGGTCATAAGGGAGGAATGTTCCCACCAGGGGACACAGCAATGGTTCCATTGAACAGGAAGTTGAGATGGGGAAAAGGAAGGAGTAACCAGGAGCCACCTGCTTACTCAGGGCTCCTCATGACACTGAAACAGCATGTCAAAAAATAATTATGCTTTGGCTGAGGATATTAATCCTGATTATCAAGGGAAAATTGTGTTGGTTGGACACAGTGGCACCAGGGATGAACATGCTAGAAATCTGGAAGATTCCTTGATAGGCCTCTCAGTTTTCCCATGTTCTGTGGTACAGAAATATAGGCAGAATTGTTAATGACACAAACCCTTCAAGAATAAAGATGTGGTTACCGTATCAGACAAAGAACTAGGACTGACCGAGGTACTTGGTACGTTTCAAAAGAATTTACAATAATTATGGAAGAAGGGTATTATAAATACCATCTACACCCATATGAGTTGTTTCATGAATAGGGACAATAAAAGGCATGTATGTGTATTTTTCCCCTGTTTGGCTATGAATATATTTATGTATATTATTCTTTTTTCTGCTCAATTCCCAAATAATATAAACTATTATGTGTTAATAATGATTATCCTTGTATCTCAGTATTTGACTATATGATATCGAATGCAGAGACTGAATCATCTAGAAAAGAAATAAGCCTCACTTCAAGATGCATAAAATGATATGGGGCTTCATGTTTCATCTTTTGTGGAAGTCAATGTATCTTCAGTTGAATAAAGGATAGTTGCAAAATATTAGGTGAAAACATAACATTACTGTCTTTATTTGAAATTCAAATATTAGTAAACAGATATATGTGGATGTTGACTTGACTCAGCCACCAATTCTTCTAAGGCTGGTAACTGCATTTCTCTGAAGTTTCTTCCATGGGTGGTTCTGGCATGAAGATTGTCAATGAGAACTACTAAGAGATTTGAAAGTTTGAAATAAAGCAGAAGCCACTATTCTTGGAAAGACATGGTAGCCAGATGTAGTGTCTCTTTAGACCTCTCCACGAGCCCCACTTCGCAGCTGCAACTGCCAGGCATGCTAGCATCACAGATCTCTCCATAAGCTCTTCTTCCACAGTCGTGACATTCAGATGTAGTGGCTTCTTGACTTTCTCAGTGACTTTGGCTTGGCCACCTCCTCTAATGATGTAGGCTGATGTCACAAGTAATTGTTTCTCTGATGTTCTGTCTATCTGTTCTTTCTGTTGCCTATCTCTTCACACATTCACAAAATCTGTAATTACTATATTATTTATACCACTTTATTCTCAACACATGTGATAGCTCTGTTTCCCTAACTGAACCCAGACAAAGATGGTATGTAATCAGATGATCTTTATTTTCTCTTTTTGATTCTATTTTAATTCCCATAAATCATGGGGCTTAATATTTTATTATAATTATTATGCTTATGATGCATTGATGTCATATTTGTAAATAAGTAGATACATGCAATTTTTGGTTGCTGGAACATTGACATGGAAATATTTTGAAACAGACTCACTCAAATGATGCTAACATTTAACCTCTTATGGCTCTTAGTGAGTTTATATTTTCCTTGTGTTGAAAAAATAATAACGGGCACATACCAATATTTTATGCTCACAGAATTTACTTCTTGGTAAGACGATGTTCAGTAGGTAGTAGTCCCGCTCATGGTGACACAAAACATCTAGATAAATACTGAACAAATCCACCATCATCTGAATGTTTGATTACAGATTATTGAACATATTGATGCTTTTAATATTTAGAGTTTTGATATTTTTTAGATAAAAGACAAAAATAATTCACTAAACTTTTAACTCTTTATGCAGATGTTTGTCATGGTGGCCTTACAGTTGACTAGGAAAAACCTAAACTGCCATTTGTTTTAATTCTCACACTAGTGCACAAGAAATTGAATTCAATAGTCTAAATGCTGAGCCCTGAATTAAACAGTAGTCCTATATTTCAGACAATTTCATCAAAAACTCTTGCTGTGTTCCTGGACTCACATCAAAACTATTTTGGATTAATGCCAGTTTCATGGATTTTCATGGCAAGAGAATGACTAGTTAAAATGTAATTAAACATAAATTATTTCCCATTGCAGTTTTGCAAACTAAAGTATATTTAAGTACAAGTTGGTAATAAAACATAAACAAATATGTTCTCAAACACAAACCTATCCCAAATCAACCAAGAAAATACTGGCTTTGCTAAATCTGCCTACTGTATCAGTTAGGATAATTTCAGTTTCAAGTGACTACATATCTAATTGAAAATGGCTTAAACAATAAAATAATTTAGTGTTTCACAAAACATGGATTCTGAAATTCTCAAAAATCAAATTATGCTAATTATTTAGACTTGCTCAAAAAATGTGTAAGCAAAGCCTCAATGACAAACCTTTTAAACTACTCTAGAGAAATAATTTGACAATATTGCTGCAAGTTTTTATTATAATTATCAATTATTATTGATTTAGTTTGGATATTGTCCCCCCTAAATCTCATGTTGAATTATAATCCCCACTGTTGAAGATGGGGCCTGGTGGGAGGTGATTGGCTCATGGGGTTGGATTTCTCATGAACGATTACTGCCATCCCCTAGGTACTGTTCCAGTGATAGTTGAGTGCGTTCTCATGAGATCTGACTGTTTAAAAATATATGGCATATCCCCTCCGCCATTGCTCCCACTCTCGCCATGTGATGTGTATGCTCATACTTCACCTTCCTCTATGAATAAAAGCTCCCTGAGGCCTTCCCAGAATCCAAGCTAATGCCAGCACCATGTTTGTACAGCCTGCAGAACTGTGAGCCAACTAAACCTCTTTTTTTTATAAATTACTCAGCACTAGGTATTTCTCTATAGCAAAGCAAGAACAGCCTAACACAATTATCTTACTCTAAAAATGTAAAAATGTCAGTTAATGTGGTGCTTAAGTAGTAGAATGCCATATAAATCAACTCCATCCACAAATCTAGAATATCATTATTTCTAAAATGTTCCAGGAAAATCATAACCTTAGACTTTTGTATGCGACAGCAATGTTCCAAATGCAAAACTGCCAAAAAATATGCTGACTTGTAAATCCAGTTTGAATGACGCACTAATATGTATAGTGTTGGAAAAACCTCATTGAATAGCTAGTAAACATCGAGACAGGTTCTAAGAAAGATGTTTATAACAATTGATATCTACATTAACATAAAAGTTGTCAAATAAACAACCTAACTTTACACTTCAAGCAACTATTAGGTTGGTGCAAAAGTCGTTGCGTTTTTTTTTTTTTTGCCATTAATATAAATAAAAGAACAAACTAAGCCCAAAGTAAGCAGAAGGAAGAAAATAATACATGTTGGAGCAGAAAATAATGAAATTGAGAAAAGAATGACAGCAGAAAAAAATCAATGAAGCTGGGTGCGGTGGCTCAAGCCTGTAATCCCGGTACTTTGGGAGGCCAAGGTAGGTGGATTGCTTGAGTCCAGGAGTTCGAGACTGGCCTGGGCAACATAGGGAGACCACATTTCTATATTTTAAAAAAACCCACGAAAGAAAAAGTAAAAAATTACCTGGGCATGGTAGCAGGTGCCTGTGGTCCCAGTTACTAGAGAGGCTGAGGTGGGAGGTGGAGGTTGCAGTGAGCTGAGATCACGCCACTGCACTCCAGCCTGGGCGACAGAGCAAGACACTGTCTTAGATCAGCACAGAAATTGAGAGTAAGTATTCAGATACTCTTATAGTAATGAGAGTAATGTTATTTCTGTTGAAGCTAATAATAAAAGATTAGGGTGTATGTTTTGTAAAAACACAAAACCATGATTCTTAATTCTCCAATCACTTAATTGAATCATTTGTATGTACTATAACTAATATAACAATTTTCATATAGCTAGAAAATTAGATTGTTTAAAGTCAATCAAAAAATAAAGAAACTAAGAATTGGATTTTTTAAAGGACAAACAAAATTGCAAATTCTTAGCTAGACTAATAAGTAAAAAAGAGAAGACTCAAATAAAATTATAAATGAAAAAAAGAGACATTACAACTGATGCCACAGAAATAAAAAAGATCATAAGAGTCCAGTATGAAAAATTATACACCAATAAATTGGATAACATAGAGTAAATGAATAAATTCTTAGAAACATACAACATACCAAAACTGAATCATGAAATAATAGAAACTCTGAACAGACTAATAAAGAAGGGGATTGAATAACTATTAAAAAACTTCTCAACACAAAATAGGCCAGGACCAAATGAATTCACTAGTCAATTATACCAAACATTTAAAGAAGAATTAATATAATTTCTTTCAAATCTTCCAAAAATTTGAAGAAGAGGGAACACTTCTAAACTCATTTTACAAAGCCAATATTACCCATACCAAAGCTGTACGAAGAAACTAAAAGAAGAGATAATTACAGGCCAATATCATTGATGAACATAGATTTTAAAACTCCTTAATAAAATGCTAGCAACCTGAATTCAACAGCTCGTTGAAAGGGTCACACACCATGATCCAGTGGGATTTATATTTGGGATCTAAAGATGGTTCGACATATGCAAATAAACAAATATGGTACATCAAATTGATAGAATAAGGGATGAAAATCACCCAATCATCTCAATAAATGATGAAGAGCATTTGACAGAATTCAACATTCTTTTATGACAGAAACTCAACAAACTAGGTATAGAAGAAATTTATCTCAACATAATAAAAGCTATATATGAAAAGTCCACAGCTAACATCATACTCAATGGTGAAAAATGGAAAGATTAGGAACAAGGTAAGCATGCCTCTCCCCACTTCTATTCAACATAGTACTGAAAGTCCTAGCCAGAGCAAGTAGGCAAGGAAAAGAAAGAAAGACATTCAACTACTCTCAACTCCTGGATTTTTTTATCTCTATGTTGTGCCCACCACTTAGGACATTTTTTGCTACCTCTCAACACTGATTGGCTACCAAGGTTCTTGCCATAAAATCCAACCTTTAATTCTCTGCTGTATAAACCTTATTATCATGCTAGTTGAGAAAAATGCTATTTAATAATATTTATGAAGGAATACTGCCAGGGCATGCAGCTTTTCCATTCCTCGAAGATATTCTAAATTAGTCCCTTTATCAAACCAGATGTTAGAGTTCTGCATTCTTGGAACTCAAGTTAATTGCCATCTGGTATCATTTCCTTTTAGGACGTATTGGGGCACATTTTTAGAAACAGGTGTTTGAAATTTGTTGCTTTATCAGTTGCTGACATATTGTAAGGAAGGCATTTTTTTCCCTCACTGTGTCATCTTTGAAAGGACAGTGAAAAAATTCCTCTCTGGTCTTGATTTAAGAAGAAGCTATGTCTCCTCTAGACCATTCATTTGTCTTCATTTTATGGACACAAAACCTTGTACCATTTAGCATTTCTCTCTTTGCTTTGGTTGCTAGGTGGCTCAGAGCCAGATTTTAACTCAGTACTAGCAAATATACAAGGTTTTTTATATATTTATTATACTTGGTTTTATTATTTTTCTATCCTTCTTAGCCCCAGTTTCCATATTTACTTTGCAATTTTGTAATATACTTTTGATTTTTGTTATTATTTTGTTGTTAGCTACCTCAAGACCTTTGTGGGAGGAAGTATTTTTTATATATATATATATAAAATACATATATATATATGTAAGTAAATGATTGATCAGGAAGTGATTGCTATACAGAGATACTGTAATACTAGATTTGAGAAAAACTTCTTATTTATCTATAACCAAATTCCATTTACATTATTGGTGGAAGTATTTCTTACTTTTTAAATGTGAGGTCATTGATAATGTACCCTCTCATGCTCTTATTTCTAATCTCCTCCCTTCCACAGGCTCCCTTTCAATAGTGGCTAAATAGTCGCAGTCTCACCCTTCTTATACAACTAAAATCCTTCCTCTAGGGCTTTAAAATGAAAACTCCAGACCCCCTCCATTCTCTGCCATCTCTTATTGTCCATGTTGGAAGAAGTGTCTGTGGTCACTGTCTCCTTTATTTCCCTTTCATTTCCCATCCCTCTGAAACTGTCCTCCTAAAGTGAGACTTAGTTCCTTAATGGTAAACCCAGTGGATATTTCTCAGTCCTTGACTTCCTTGGCTCTTAATTACTCTTTCTCAGTACATGCTGTACCCATGGAGATCCTGACACCATACACGGCTGGAATTTCTTCTTACTCTTTCTTTCTGGCCACTTGTTATCAGTTTCTTTTTCAGATTCCTCTGACTCCATCTTTCTCTTAAATGTTAGTGTTCCTCAGAGTTTGGCCCCACCCCTTCTACCCCCTCTTTCCACTCAATGCACACATCCTATGCAGTCTCTTTCATTTACTGAAGTGTTTCTCTAGCCTGGTGACTCTCCTGATATCAATTGCCTGTTAGATGTGGATGTCTAGATATCTTGCTGGCACCTCAAACTCTTCAACTTTTCATCTTAGCTCTTTTCCTTTGTATCTGTTCTTTGTTTCATTTTCCTAGCTTTGAGATTTACACCAGCAGATGCCTTCTCATCAACTCTAAAAACCTAGAAGTCTTCTTTGACTTCTCTTTCTCCGTCTCTATTCAAACAATCACCAAGTCCCAGTGATATACTGACTAAACACATCTTAAATCATTGTCATTGTATCCTGCCCCTCACCACCCCACAGGGACTATAATCTCTTACTCACATTAATGTCTTCTGTGCTTTGCACAGTGCCAGTGACATAAGTGCTCAAAAATATTTCTTGAATGAATACATTAATTTTAGAAAATTGAGAAACATTAAGAGATAACAGAAGTGGAATATGGATTTTTTAAACATTCATGTTATTAGCACACAATTGGTTTTAACAAGGCAAATGAGTCCAATATTTTTCACATTGAATTGTTTTCTGGAACATCTATATAAAAACATATACTTAGAAATGCATTTTTAATGACTTCCAGGAGGCTGTTTCTCCACATTTTATGTAGGAAAATGCTATACAGCAAGTAATTTAGTCATAGGAGCATTTGGCTGATATTTAACATAAGAAAACACCAAAATGAAGACTCATTATATAAATTGAAGGTTGCTACAATGAAATTTAATAAATTGTTTGCTTTTAAGAATGCAAGAACCACTTTTCTGAATATCTTTGAAACCTACTTATAAAATTCATGGTGAGAGAGGCTCTTTAATGTATTATAATTACCATAGTAAGTCCAGCTTTAATTTACTGATAAAATTCTAATTGTTCAACATACATGTGTGCATAACGAGGCAGTGAAGAGTGTGCATAATTGAGTAGCTCTTTTGAAAATTGAATCCTAATCATTTCTTCATCTGGTAATTGGTAACTGGTTGCTTTGTTTTCCTAAAGCATATTTTGACAAACTTTGCTGAAGGCTTCTGCAAAGCAATATTCATTCACATCTGATATTCAGTCTCTAACCATCAAATGCTACAAGGCTTTATGAGAAATGAGAAGAGGAAAAGATTACTTATGAGGGTGCCATATGTAGAAGGATGGAATTGCTTTTTGGGTTTGTGCTCACACTACAGTTCTGTATAGGTTTTATCTGGCATTTTCAGCATGAGAATCTTGGAGGTTCTATTTTGACACTCTCAGCGAGTGTTAGTATGTTGAGATCCTCTATAGTCAGGGAATGACAGGATGTGTAGGGAGGAGAATTAGAGACCCTTTTACCTGGATGTTGTTTACTGATTGATCATGCCTGTGGTGATCACCCCTATAGATACCCCCCAGGAGACAGCACGAAAAAGGAGACATTGGCTCAAGTCATCATAGTTAATGTCTTTAATAAATATGTGCTTGTTCTTGACCATTAGAATTTTGATGTCAACTTGGTAGTGTCCTGAGTGATCTCATTAACTTTAAGTCTAGGGTTGTTTGTACACTGGATGGGCAGGTTTCCAGTACACCACTGGACATTTGCATTTTTTATTTGCTGGAGATTTCTTTGATCTTGGTGAAAACCAAAAGAAAGGAAATAGCATTCAAGAAGGCAGAACTTAAAATGAAAAACACATGAAATAGGATCTCTCTGTGGAATTAAAGCATGGAACACTGACTAGGAATGTGGTGGTGTTTGCCCTTGCACAGTTTGGCCTGACTCAGAGGAACGTCTGACGTTAGACTGTCCACGTGCAATAGGCACAGTGAAAAATAGAGCATGACTTGGGCAGTAACATTTCTTCTATATTTTCTCCAAAAGGTAAACATTTTTTAATCACATGTACATGTCTGAAGTGTTCAGTGAATTTGTTAATGGCTGCTAAGTTCACATGTGTCTTTCATTTTGTCCATTTCAAGACATCAAATTAAAAGGCCATTGGTTTCCATATTATATAAGGAAAGGCTTGCATAATAAAAGGCATGTATTTACAATTTAGATATAGAAGATTTGTTGCAGGTGGCTTTGAATGCCTTGTAGCAGATGCTATTTTGTAGTACAATTACTTACATTGTCAACTAACATTTATTGTCTTATATAACAACAGCATTGACATTTAAAAAGGAAAACAAATCAATTGTCCATATGAAAATTAATCTGCTGGAATTAAATTTTAAAAGTAATTCTAAACACAATTTTCTGCCACCCTGCAGGTGGAATACGAATTGCCATGTATATATAAACATTTTTTAAAATTATATAACCAGTAAATTTTTTCTTTCAGCATAAGTATATTATAACTTCTTCCATTAATATTTTTCCCTGGAGGTTTTTAATCAAAGAATATGAATTTTTTAATAAAGTTAATAAGTTAGATCCAATGCCTATTATGAAGTATATATAACTGAACAAATGAACTACTCTGTTTCTATTAAAGGACAAGTCAGCCACGTCTATAAAATAAAAGGAAATATACTTTTTTTATCTTTTGCATTCCTCTCTAGTCAAGAAAAATTAGGTGATTTTAAAAACTGTTCTTCACATGACCTTAGTTATCCTGTTTTCAGTATTGACTGCTTTTCTTCTCTCTTCTATACTTGAAGAAAAACTCTCACCATCCTTCAAAGGCCGGTACCAGGTCATCTTCCACAGAAAGCCTCTTCACAGAAGGAATCAAATTACCTTCCCCTGTGCCCCCTTTGCCCTGGGCCATAGGCCTGGGTGGCACCCATGACAAATATTTGCTGTCTGCTGTGGTCTTGAATGAAGGTGGACATGGCACTTTACCATATTTGTGGCCCACTGGGTGGCACAGTGCCTGTCACAGGGTAATGTTTATTGACTTAAATAATGAATCTTAAAATAAGTTCATTGTCTTTGGATACATTTCAAATGAAAATACCATTATTTTCCTTTTAACTCAGGGAAATAAAAAATTTATTTCAGAGAAATAAACATTATTATCTTCATGTCCTGAGTGATGGGATCCAGGCTTAAAGTCTTATATTTTATTTTGTTTCTCTTGCTATACTGGCTTTGTGAACAGATAAAAGACCAAAGTCTAAATATCTGAAATATTTATAGAAAAAAATACCAATTTAATTTGCCTAAAAAGGCTCTATTGTCTCCAGTTTTGTTTAAGAATGATCTCTTGTTACATGGCTCCAGATGCATTGCTGCTTAAAGCAAATGTAACAACACTGAGATATCTGTTACCTGCAGCCTGATGTAATTTAGCTTTTAAGATCAACTTTGCAAAAGTTATGTAAAAGGTTTTCATTGTGCATTTTGTCCCTATTTGTACTTTTGATACAAAGGATGATGATGTAAAACATGAGTGGGTTTTTCTTCATAATAATAAATCCTAGTATAACCATTTTCATTTTTATTCATGACCTTCATTTTTATACATGTATATTCATTTTATATACATGTGATTATATCAAAGTTACCATTCATTTTGCATTATGCTTTTTAACTGAACATCATGTCATAATATTTCCTCATGTTTCAGCATGGTCTTAATTATTATAGTTGTAAGAGCTATGTATTTGTTCTATTGTGCCATTGTGCCATTATATATGTATAATATGTATGCCATTATATATATATAAATATATGTATATACCATATATAAATAATGTATATATGCAATAATATATGCCATTTTATATATAAATTACATATATTTTTATGTACATTTAAGTCTATAAGTCTATCTATCCACCTATTGAAAATCTAAAATAAATCTGTCACTCTCCTAAATATAACATAAAATTCTCTGTTTTCTTCCAATAATTTTGTTTAATTTTCCCAGAGTTCTGTGATGAAATTCAGACTGTTTTTGTCAGAGCAAAGAGTTAATAGTCTAGTGACATGTGGAGTAGTAAAAACAGAGCTTGCAGCTAAGGAATTCTTTTTAAGAATACATGAAATATTTTCTTTGAAACATGTTTACTGAATGCTTACTAAGTTTAAGGAATTGGGATTTTTTCTATAGTTACAAAAATAAACATCATAGACATGACCATTAAC